>NC_000009.12:63542264-63842264 GCF_000001405.40 Homo sapiens
GAATTCTCACGTTCCAAGTAGAGAGAGATTGTGATTCTATGCCTTATGCAAATCTGAATCTAGAGGGGACTCCTCCTCTGGGGACGCAGTTAACTTGAAGTGTTCCAGAAAGGCTATCTACAGGTCCACTCATGCTAAATTCCCATAAGAGAAGCACCAGCTGTGTCTGCAGTGGTGAATGAGGGGGGAAAGTCTTTTTCTTCAAGACCGTTCTGTAGATTTTCCCAAGTCCAGCACTGTACCTGTGCCTCTACTGAAAGAAACTTTCCACAGGTGGGAAGTTCTGGACTCAAGTCCTGCCATCTAGATTCTTTTTTCCATGGGGTGTGCCACTGATGTGCACTCCCCCTTATCCTAAGAGTAGGAGTCCCTGAGGGCCAGACTAGTATGAATGCTGCTACTTCTCTGGCTCTAGCCACCTAGTGGGACTGCCACACTCCAGGTTGGTGCTGGGAAATGTCTACAAGGGGTCCAGTGATGTGACCTGTTCTCAAGACTCCGTAGTGAGTAGCAACAACAGCTCTCATGGGGGTGACAGGAGAATGACATAGACTCTGTGAGATTTCTTGATTATAAGTAGTCTTGGTGCATTGGTTTTTCTGTAATGCCACCTGTAGTAGTAATGAACTGGTCGCATGGACAGACTCAGGACCTCCTAGTTAGCCAAGGTTATATAGGCAAAGGTGATAGCTTAGGTCACACACAAGTTTTCTCTTTCCTGTGCACTGTTAGTGTGCCTGCAGATGCTGTAATGGATTGTGTCAGTAGGACTCCAGCCACAAGGTGGCACTTGAAAAAGAGCACCAGCTGGTAGCAGTGGGATTTGTGCTTGCCTTATGTTACGCAGGGGAGGTAAGCTGATGACTCAGGCAATGGGCAGGGCCATTGAGCTCTCAAAATTTTCTATTCTTTGTGTTAAGCTACCAGGGCAGATGGAGGGGCAAAGCCAGCTGGGGGCTGAATCAGGCAAGTTCACATTCTAGCTCTCTTTTGTCTGCCATGTGTGGGCAAAAGCACTGTCCCCAGTGGGGATCAGATAGTGGTCCTCTGGCTGTAGGAGTAATGTTGCAGGGAGTACCACAGCTGCCTCTGCTGCAGAGAAGCATCTGTATGAGGAATAGGGAGCAGCAGGCAGCAGTTAGCCCCACTCAGCTCCCACACACTTGGCAAAGCAGGTCTTGCACCTGCAGTGTCCCACTCGCAGCAGCTTGGTTCCAAGCAGTCAACACTCAGAACTCAACACTGCCCAAGGCCATAAGACTTCCCAGAAGAGACTGCAACCATGGCTTCCAGGTCACGCCTCTCCTAGTTGGCCCATGAAGCAGGGGCACCCAGCTCTTGCACCTATGGCTGCAGCACATTTCCCATCTGCCCCATGGTTCTGACCAAGGAGGTTTGTCTCCACTCGAGATTATATCACGAATCTCAGTTGAGAGCTTCTCTCAACCTGTGACCACTGCCTGAGTTACCTGGCTGACTTCTGTGAGGTCCCCTGTGAGATAGGATCAGGGATGGCTTTCCTCTGTCCTGCTGGGCATGCACACCAAGCCCGTCCCCATGCTGCTACTTCTCATATATGCCCCACTGCTCACTAAATCAGCTCCAGCGCTGGGTGGGATTAAGGCCTTTCCCTGTGGCCTGGATTGCTTGGTTCCCCAGTAGGAGTATATGTCCTAGAGGCAGTTTATCCCTATCTGACATTCTAGGGACTTAAAGTTTTCCTCCTGGCTCATGATTTTAGACAGCAACCTGACACTTCTTTCAAAAAGTCTGTGCTTTCTTTCAGTTTTCCTGTTAATTTTCTGTGTTGCTTCTTGGAAAAAATTTACAGTGTGAATCTCCACACACAATTCTGTCTTTCCAAATAGGAGAGGCATGCTAACAATGACTCTAATCTGCCATTTTGAGAAAAAAAAATACTGGAGGTCTTTACTATTTTTTTAATACTATAGCCCATTCTGAGTTTTCATTACAACCTCCACTCTAGTATTGTATCTGCTTTTCACAAACCCTTATCTTTGGTAGCTGGATTTAATTCATTAATTTTAAAATTTTGATAAAAATTATGACATAATTATATTATTATGTATTTTCATTTGATTATCTAGGTTTATGAAACTGACTAAACTAATAATTATTTGATAATATGATTATATTCTGCCAATTCATTCTACGTGTTCCTTGGATATGTTAATAAACAATAGAAACAAGTCCAACTAAAAGACATCACTTATTCTGACTCTTGTTTTGAAAAATAAAACCTGACAAATCAAATAAAAGTAAATGAATTATTATTCAGACATCCACTTATGGTTTGGGTATATATTTTGACAGTCCATGAGAAAAATTCCTCCAAGGGTCTTCACCTCCAGACATAAAATCACTTTGTTGCTTTTCTAAAAGCTATTTTTAAAAACACCAACATCTTTTTTAAATTCTCCCATCTATAAGTTGGCAAAAATATCTGTTGAGGTTTGTAAGCAACATTAACATTTTAAATAATAAATGTAATATTTAGGGACAATTTAATTTAGTGACTCAAGGCATCTAATATTTGGTATCAGTATACGAATATTAAGAAACATTTAGCCCTTTTATTTATAGTATTTTTTATAGTAAAACAATTTCTACTTTCTATTATGCTTCTTGTTCTGTGATAGTTTACTATTTCTGAAACTTTATTTTTTACAAAATTTCAAGTTGAGTCTAAAAAAATTATATTTTGTTGTTTTGAAAAATACGTAGCCTAAAACTGTACATGCTAACAGTTGAGTTTTATCAGTGTTATTTTTACTAAACCTAATCACTATAAAATAGCTATATCTTGTGTATGTTAAAAATGTGAAATAAGATGAGAATGTATTTGCTATTCTATTAATTAAATTATATGAATTAGTAGCAACTATTAAGATGCTTTGAATAGTCCCTTAGGTGGATGAGAACATGTGAGCAAGTACTAGCACAGTGGTAGATGCTTTGCAAATTGCTCTTACTTTCCTAATGATTGACAGGCTAATAGCTAAATAACTAAGATAATATAAGCACTTTCTTAGAATTTAGAGATCCACTTAAAAGACAGGTTTTCATTAGGAATTTCTGTACTTTATTTCACATTTCCATAAAAAAATTCCTCATTGCAAGAACCGCTGCACCTATTATATGAAAAAACTCAAGAGAAAACAATCAGGTGACCATTACCTCTAAAACATCTGATTTGATTCAGTTATCCTATAGGAATCAAGTATCAGGCTTTACAAGATCCTCTTTTTTCAATGTTGTTTTACTGCCTAAAACAATGTTTAAGATGACTAATTCACGTTTCTTTTTGTGACTTATTTTTACTTGATCTAATTTCTAAAGTGATCTTTATGAGGTGTCTTGCCTAAAAATTTGCCTATACTTATAAATGCATTTTCACTTACTACAATCTCATTTTTTACTGTACTGTAGATGTACAGTTAGTTGAATACATACATAATACTTTTGAGAATATATGAGGTTTTACATAAGAAGAATCATATTGAAGTGGTTATCTAGCATATCTAAAGAGGAAACAACAGAGAAGCAAGCTGGAAACAATATGTAGACATCAGTAATTATTTTAATTTCACAAGACAAACATTTATCAATCCTGTATTCAAAACCTACATATATGCTACTTAGGATGCAGAAATAGCTATGTACATTCATTGCCACCAAGGCATTTATGATCCAATTGAAGGGCAAATACAAACACAATGAAGTTTCTTTGTGTAGCAATTACACAAATAAAACTTCATAAGCTTGCCAAGAAAAGCAAGAACGAAGAAAGGAAAGAAAGAAGGAAGAAAAACAAATGGCAAAACAGAGCAATATTTAAATGTGGTTATGATTCAGCCAACCATTACATTTAATGATAATGTGCCTGTTTGGGAAAGAAAATAGAATTAACTGAATGCCAAGGGGAGGGGGAAGGAACAAATGAAAAAATCAAAACAAAATAAAACTGTGAAAGATAATTAATGGGAATAGAAAAAATTATGTACAAAAAGCATTTTATTTGGAGAGTAATTTAGATCTTTAGGAATATATTGGCTATATTCAAGTTCCTATACTTAAGTGCTATACAATAATAATTAAAGGTACCAGATTTAGTAAAGGGATTTTGCACCATGAATTTTTTTTCCTGTAAAGATACAAATATATCTCCTTAGTAGAACAGATAACCTCACAGATTTATGACACTGTTATATATCAATCTATATTTATTTATTTAACCAAGCAATCTTAATGTTATTTTGCTAAATTGCTTCTAAATGTCCCAGTTTCTCAGATTCCCTTTGTGTCATTTAAAACATCTATTTGTTATTTATTAATTCAAGTTAATATCTTTAAAACCTATTCATTTTATATTTGTCTGAGAGCTATGATTTTAAGCTTCTAAAGATTATATTTTAATAGAAATCAGGGACTAGTTACCTTTAATCTGGGGGAGATACTACATATTTTAAAGCCTGAAGTCAATGTCTAGACAAAAGTTTCTGCTTAACATCAAAGGGTATGCAACATTTGCTGTGGCTCTCAAATATTAAGAAAGGAAAACACAACTGGGAATTTGTCACTAGCACTTTATTCTTTACTCAGGATTGAAGTAGAATTTTTTAACGCCAATATTTTTCAGAAACTTTAAACATTAGAAATAAAATAAAAACTAGCCCAATTCCAATATTCCCCATGGATTTCCTAGCAGAAGAAATGTGAAACTCTTATGGAGAAATAATCCAATATTGCAAACACAAGGATTTGCCACTACAGAAACTAACAAGTTAAATTGAAAACTATATTAAAAATAAATTCACAAACAAAAATTACAAAATACACAATGAAAAATAATATACATGCCAGGCGCGGTGGCTCACGCCCGTAATCCCAACAATTTCGGAGGCTGAGGCGGGTGGATCACCTGAGGTCAGGAGTTCAAGACCAGCCAGGCCAACATGGCAAAACCCCGTCTCTACTAAAAATACAAAAAATTAGCCAGGCATGGTGGCAGGCGCCTATAATCCCAGATATTTGGGAGGCTGAAATAGGAGAATTGCTTGAACCTGGGAGGCGGAAGTTGCAGCAAGCTGATATTGCACCATTGCAACCCAGCTTGGGCAACAAAGTGAGACTCTGTCTCAAAAAAAAAAAAAAAAAACCAGCAATAAGAGTCAGCAGATGTAAAACAGCAGAATTAAAAGTATGTGTAAAAATAGATGAATAATTTGAAAAAAATTATAAAATTAATAATATGTAATGAACATACATAAACACTAAAGACATTTAAAAAGAAATGAAGAGCAGATTTGGCAAAGGATATCCAAAAATAAAAATATAGTAATTGAATTTAAAAACCTATGAGATATGGATGATTAAAATTAATATAATAAATATATATCACAGAGAAATAAAGTTATCAATATAGAGCAAGATGGACAAAAATTATTATTATATTAGATACTTTGGGTGCATTTAAGATGGTATTGAGGCAATATCTAGAGGTAATAACTGGAAATTTTCTATAAGTCATTAAAGAAAAAAAATTTTCACATTCAGGAATTGGACAAGTTCTGAACAGAATTGATAAAAATAAATCCAAACTAGAAAGAACACTGATTTGGTGAATATTTTAAAAAGAAGCTAGTTCACTGAAAAACTAATACAATAATGCAATGGCATACCAAGTTCCAAATGCAAAATATACAGTGCAAGATAGAATACTATACACAGTGCTGAGACTTTTTGGGTCTACAAAATTTTAAGAAAGCACACTCATGGATTCATTGAACAACCCTTTTTAAAGTAACAAAGAAAGAAAAAAGAAAACACTAAAAAAGACAAGTGTGAGAAGCAAGGGGCAACTGTAAACCTGTTAAATGTAAGGGTAAATCTAAATAAGCATTAATTATTTGAAAATGTGAGGCCAGGAGTCCAGTCCAACCTGGGTAACAAAGTGAGGCATGAGTTACAATTAAAATACTAGAAAAGTATTGACCATTTCAATTAAATGTTCCTTTCAAATCACTAATTATTTTCATGTTCCAAAATTTAAAGGTTAATTTTTTATTTTCATTTTATTGATCTATCAGTAGTCTCTTTTTCTTTAATTAAAAAACAAACAAACAAAAACACATAAACAAACAAACAAAAAAACCCAGCTTTTTTTCTTTGGCTTCCAGAACACATCCTCTTGGCTTTCTTCTTATGTCTTTGTATGCTATTTCTTAGTCTTTGGAACACTTCTGTGTCCACCCCCACTCCCTTGATGAGTTCTCACAGAGCCATGGTTTACAATATTGTTTATGCTAAGAACTTGCAAATTTGTACCTCTACCTGTTGCTTCTCTTCTAAATGCCAGGCTCTTACATCCAACTTCTTATGCTGTCTTCTTTTGAGAAGCTAATAAACATCTCAACTTTGAAATGCACATTCTCACCTACGACCATTTGTCTCAAAGCAAAAATCTTAGAGTCAATCCTACTTATTTTCTTTGTCAAGAATTGCACATCCCACCTTTCAGCAAGTCTTTCTGCTTGCTCTACATTCAGAATCTATCCAAAGTTAGTCACTCTCTTAGTCTCTCCCAGAAACAGATCCCAGTAAAAACATTCAATCAGAAGTAATTTGGGATGTAGAGAAAAACTGTATTCTTTTTCTTCCCTCAGCCTTTTGATGTGTTTATTTCAATGCTATTTTTACAATGTTACTTACTGAATACATTAATTAAAATTGTAATCTGCCACTATTACTGTGTATCCTGCCTTACTTTATTTTCTTCACAAAATATATAACTTTTCAACACCTGTCTATATTTTATTTCTTTTGTGTCATCCTATATCTCACTGTAATCTTTACAAAGGCAAGGATTTTTTTCTTTAATATCCTAAATGTAGATGTTTGTCTCTAGTAGATTCAATGATGCCTCCCAAAATATGATAAATATGCACATATCTTTCCATATGCTAGCCCACAGAAACTGTAGATGTGACCTAATTTTTTTGTATATATTAATAAGGATCTTGAGATGACGTCATACTGGATGATCCTAGTGCACCCTAAATCCAATAAGTGTTCTTATGAAAGACAGAAGAGGAGACGATACAGGAAATAGAAGAAGGCTACTTGAGGATGGAAGCAGAGATTGGAGTTATGCAGCTACAAACCAAAGAATGCCTTGAGCCACCAGCAGCTGAAAGAGGTAAAGTAGGATCCACCCATAAACACTTGAGAAGGAAAGTGGGCCTATCTATACCTTTATTTCAGATTTCTGCCCTACAGAACTGTAAGAGAATATATTTCTTTTGCTTTAAACGTTTAGGTTTGTGGTAATTTGTCATAACAGATCCAGCAAACTCATATACTGGCACTGAGCAGATATTCAATAAGAATTGATTATGAATTATAGTCATTATGATAGTGCGGCATTGACTCAGAGATGAACAATTTGTTCACTGGACTATAGCAGGAAATTCAAAAATTCATGGTAGACTTTCGATATTTTACATATGAATTGTCGTATCACCCAGAAAAATGAATAACTATTCATAAAATAGCTGTGATACATTTGATTAACATATAGAAAAATTGTAAATTGTATTCTATCATCACATTAACTTCAAATGTGAAAGACATCTTGTATCACTTTTAAAGAAAATATAAAATATATTTTATTTAGTAAAATTGAACTTGTAGAATGATGACTTTTTTTTTACTTTACTGCTTAATACTTGAGAAATTCTCCTCTTTGATGAGGCTATTAGAAAACAAGAACTCTAACAATTATATAGTGGGAAGATAAATTCATACAACGACTTTGGAAAGCTACTTGACAATGTAAGGATGAAAGTGCCCAAAGTTGTAAAATTTCCCTGCTCTATGTGTATCCTATGAAAATTCTAATATATATAAACAACAAAACCATAAATATTTATTGTAGCTTTGTTTTTAACATTTACAATGGTAAATATAAAAATGCCAATATTTCCTGATATGAAAATTGATAGCTTTATATTATATATATAAAATGAAATCCCATATAGAAATTAAACAAAAACAGATACCCAAGTATCAGCTGGAATGCTTCTCAAAAATATCATAGTGAGATTATAAAGCATGTGTTGAAATAATACAGAGAAAACAATAACATCTTATTTAAATTTGAAGATACAAACACTACCATATGCTGTGTAACATATTCTATACACTGACCTGTACTTAAAAATAGAGAAATATACAAGGGGATGCTAAACAATTTTAGCCTGTAGTTATCCCTTGTAGAATTTCTTATAATCTTGTTTCTGGTTATGTTGCTGTATCAATTATTTTTCAGTTTTGGGTATGTGTGAAATATTTCATAAAAGGAAGTTGGACGTTTTAATAATACATTGACTTTAAAAGGAGGAAGAATAGGTGATTGGGGTATTTTGTTATATACCAACACATGACTGAAATAATCATCTATTCTAATTCTGTTCAGTTCAGTGGAAAGTCTTTGAAGCTTTTTTAACAGAGTTGCAGTTTGTCATATCTTTGAGAACATTGTGTTAGATTAAGTGGAACAGGAATGCTTAGAGGGAAGGAGATTAAAATAATGTGTTGTATGGATATTTGAGGTGACATACAATAGAACTGGAAAATAGAGAAACTTCATGAAAAATAGTATAAAAAGAGACATAAATGACTTACCAATTGACTCTGCTGTGTTTGATAGATGGGAATTGTAGTCGTAACATTGGATGAAATAGGAAAGACAGACTAGTAGAGCTCTTTGGAGGCAAATTCTATAAGTTCTTTTTACATTTTGAGTGAAAGTTTTCACTTTTAAATGAAACGCATATGGATAAAAAATAAAGGTAAATATAGTTATTATGAAATTGTCAACATAAAATGAGAGTTGATGCATAAAAATGAATAGACTGGAAAAAGGGAACTTTTTAAATATAAAAAAAATTGCCTCTTTTCTGACAGTATTCTTTCTTCTTAAACTTCATGATTGTTCCTGGAAATTAAAGTGAAAAAAAAACTATCATAAAACTATGACTCTATCATACTGTAACATTTCAGGGCCCATATTATTATACCTCCTCTGTCCATCTCGCATGACTGTTTAAAATGGTTCTGTTTGATACACTGACACTCAATTTCTTTTTATATGGAATGTAATTTGGGAGATTCTCTAAACAATCTGTATAATGGCAGACATGGAGTACAACTGAAATTAGAAATATTCTGTTGTAGTTTCCATTCTTTCTTAAAGGTTTTAACATTTTGTTATGAACACGACAAGCCTTATTTTTTTTTCCACACATAGAAGGAACACGAATTATAAATAGAACAAAACACTGTGAAATACTGCAAATGTGGAATAATTATTTGATCTCATGCACACACCTCGGTAATTTAAATTTTATAAGTAAATGACTAAATATTTTAAAATTAACTACTTTAAATTAAGACGTATTTAGAAATAATTTTAATGTTATTGAAATTTTTTTTAAAAAACTATTGTAATATAAGAAATCATGACATAATGCAAATACTACATATTTTCAGAAAATTTGGTAATGAATATCATCTCCCAAAAAACCATCTTAGTCATTGCATAAAATTCTACAAATGATATCTGATTTTAATTTAGAGGAAAGTACATGAACTGAAAGTCCCGACTGAATAAATGCTTAAAAAAGGATGATTTAAAAAAATTTAAAGGTAACATTTATTAATTAAAATAATTCTGATAGAAAATCCTAACAATGTACATTATTGTCTAGATTTATAATTCCGTAAATTAAATATACATCCCCCTGCAAGTGGCAATACTTCAAAAATTAATTCTAGTTTACAATTTAGTATAAAATAATGTATTAGAAGTGTCCCTGAAAGATGGAGTTTAATGGAGAAAAATGAGGACTATTATGAGTATCAGGACATGGAGAAGAGTAAAAAGTCAATATTGTGGAACAAATTAAATGACATTAAAAAATCACCTTTTTTCATTTGATATAATGTAATGGTTATAAAATATCTCCTCAGAGTTCTTCAACTGTCATTTCATTGAGATGTGGGGACTGGGGTCTCTGACCTTGAATCTGGGAGGACTTTTAACTTATTTGACTAAGAGAATACAAAAAAAAGCAATGCTGTGTAACTTTTGAGACCTGGCCTAAATCGACAATCTGACTTCTGCTCACTTTTTTTCAGAATCCTCCATCTCAGGAGGGCCCCAGTATTGGCAGGCTGGGAGAAACCCAAACCATGAGGATAGACCACGAATAGGAGTTCTGGTTGACAATCCCAGTTCATTCCTAGCTTCAAATACACAAGGCCAAGTGCCAGATATGGGCATAAAAAGCAATTTTGGAAGTGGACACTCCAGTCCAAGCTGTCCTAGCCTTCAGCTATTTGAGTTGCATCCAGACATGTAAATCTTCCCAGCTGAGGCCTCATCATTGAGGTGCAGAAAAGGGGCATGCCCACTGTGCCTGTTTCTAAATTCCTGACCCACAGAACCTGTGAACATAATACAAGTTTACTATTTTATACCAGTAAGTTTGGGGTATAGTATTATGCAACAATACAACCTGATGCACAAAAAATCTCTTCTTTGTTACATAAACTCTATATAAACTGGCATATGCTTAGTTCTTAAACCTCTCTCCAATCTCCTTCTCTTTCCCCATACTCAAACTAATCTTTTTTTTTCTGCTCCTTCAACAAACCAGCACTTGTATTTACACATTAGATAAATTGCACCATTAACTTAAAAAACACAATAGATTTCCAAGATTTTTACAAAACTGTGTCTTATAGTTTAAAGTATCTCAGCCTTTAAGTATCACTTGTTAGATAACATTTAGTTGCCAATCTTTATAATTGCTTTCTCTTACTCTACTCCTTAGCTTATAGTCCTTTCTGCCATATTTATCGTATTTGTATAACAGATCAAAATCTGTGGTTATCTATTTATTTACCTAATTTTCAGCTCTCTCCACTTATTATCATATAAGTTACAAACATTTCAGGTCATATCTTCAGTTTACCACACTATACCAGTAGCTTAAATATCACATTACCCATACTAGCCACTCAAAAATATTTATTATGGAATTAATGGAACTCTAAATTTAATCTGGTCTCCAAACTAAATATATGGCTTAAGTATCAATATAGGTTTCAGATAGATAGGGTTTAGCTATAAGGAATACAGGGTGCAACTAAAAGCAGTTTTCACAGGCAAGATGTTTACTTACTTCTACAAAAGAAAGAGTACAAGCCAGGACAGGATAAGAAGAGCAGCCACACAGGGATGCTGAAGATTTGTTATACACATGCAGGGACATTAATAGCCTTTCCTTAGAAAGAGGTATGATGTAAGATAGCTTGATGCCTGTAGCACCCTGAGACATGATTGCTCATATTGCAGCCAAGAAAAATAGGAAAGGCTGAAGCAGCAAAGGGCAAAGGGCAAAGGGGCAAAAGGCCAAAGCCATGCAGGCCAAGTTTGTGCTTTTTTAAAGGCTTTCCTAGGAACCTATCTTATGATATCCATTTCAATGTCACAAAATTCACATGGCCACACCAAGAAACATGGATATTTTACTTTCCAAATAAAAAACTAGGCAAGAGAAGTTTACATTTGCATAGCCTATCAATAGTGTCTGCCAAGATATTTCCATTTTTTAGTGTATCAGAAAATTGGGCACACATGACTAACGTACTTTTTTCATTTTAAATAGAAACAAATGTGTGTGCATATATATATATATATATATATAAAATATACATATTTATATGTGTGTAAATATGTGTGTGTGTATGTGTGGGTGTGTGTAAAACCAATCAACTTCTGCTGAAAATCTTCTGTAAAACTCATTTTTTTTCCAGTATGTTTCCTCTGAAGACAATCTTCACATCTAGGGAATATTAATGGTAATAATAACAGCATTGATTTATTGAGAGTTTTCCTATGTAACAATTACTATACAAGTATGCCATTTAATCTATTTCTCTAGTTTCAATATTAATATTGGTACTTAATAAATGAGTAAACTGAAAATAATAAGTTTAAAATCTTTTTTCACAGCTAGTCAGCAATACAAATGGGATTTGATATCAGATTCATACGATTCCGAAGACCCTGACCACCAAATGCAAAAGGTACATGGCAACAGCTGATTGCAATGAGAGAAAAACAACTAATAAGGCAACAAGCAGGATACTAAGATATTTTCCAAGGTGAATAGCACTGATTCTATGAGGAATGAACATTGCCGAACAAGTGTTTTGTTTTGTTTTTCAATTCCTCTAAAAAAATTCACATATATGCATGCCACTTTCCTGAAAAATATCTGCCTCATAATTGCCATAAAAAACTGTATGGACAACTCTTAAACATTCTGAAAGTAGTCAGGGATGGGGGAAAGCATTTGCTATTTTAGTCTGTTCCTGGTCTTATAACAAATACCACAGACTGGGTAATTTATGATTACAGAAATGTATTTCTGAAAGTTCAGGAGTTGGGAAGTTCAAGATAATGGCACCAACATATTCATTGTCTGATGAGGGCCTGTTTCATAGATGTCATTTTGCATGACTTAATCACATGGTAGGAAAAGCAAAGGGACAAAATGGACAAATGCCATGTTGTCACATAGCAGAAGAAATGGAAGAGCCAGGAAGCTCTCAGAAGCTTCCTTTATTAGGATATTAATCTCATTCATGAGTGCACAGCCATCATGACTTAATTGCCTCCAAAGGCCCCACTTCCTCATCACTTTGAGGATTAAACTTAAACATGAATTTGGAGGAAATATATTCAAACTCTAGGACTAGTTTAAATGTAGCTAAAAAGGTTTCTTCATTCTGTAATCGTTAATATGCTAATAATTTTGTAAATATCCAAGAGGAAGCTAAAGCATATAATATTCCAAAATTTATTTTTGTTTGTGGATATTATGTTTTCCTCTCATTCTATCTCAAGAAATTAGTGTCCTCAAGAAACACTATATAGGATAATTGTCTTTCAAGTTCATCAACTACTGGTTCTTGATTCTTCAGTAGCTAATCGTAGATAGTAATACTTAACAGATTATAAAAACTTGGGTGCTGCTATATAAATGTGCTGAAACTCCCAGGGAACCAAACATAAGGACTTAAAGAGAGATGTAACTAGGGATCATAATCATGAATTTCAGCTGCTTCTCTATCTTTGTCAGTGAGCAAATGACCATACAAATAAGGTATTAAATTATTAATTCTGTGCCCATATCCCGGAATTTTGCCCAATATATTTGTAAGTTTAGATAAATAAGGCACTAATGCCGGGGATATGTAGCATTAGTTCTGGGCTTATAAAGGGATATTCACAACCTCTTGCCATCCACAGAATTTATCAGCCCAAAGTAAACTATACTCGTTAGTTAAGAGCAACCTGAGACATGTTGAAAACTGAGGTGGACTGAAGACTCAACTAATTGCAGGAATCTTTTGTTATTTGGTTGAAATGTTCAAACAAGTCCCACTCTGAATTCTGTTAGAAGTCCATCATTGGCTTATCTCTTTTTCTCACTGTCTTAAATCATGTATTTTATAACACTACGAAGAATGAAGTTCAAAAGAATAAGCTAAATTTAATTAATTAAATTATTTATTTATTTATTTATTTTGAGACAGAGTCTCACTCTGTCACCCAGGCCAGAGTTCAGTTGCACAATCTTGGCTCACTGCATCCTTCACCTCCTGGGCTCAAGAGATCCTCCTGAAGCAGGGCATTTCCCTGACCCCTTCATGGGACTCGTGACGGGGGTGCCCCATTTACTCAGCCCACTGCTCTCAACTCCTCAAGGGAGGGAGTGCGCAATTGAACAAGGCAGGAACTGGAGTACACGAGTGCTGGAACCAGTGGCCTCTTTGGTGCCAGAAGGAGTGAACTCACCCACTCTGACCTGCTGTGTTCCACATCTTGCAGGAGAGAGCATGCAGGTGAGCAGGCACAGGAGCCAGGAAGAGAGCTTTGGGGTGTTGGCAGGAGCAAACTCCATGTGGGCCCCACAGCAGCCCCTGGGGTTAGGGGGGTGCCTGTGATTCCTGAAGCCCCAGTGGGCATATTACAGTGCTCCTTTAGCTCTGCCATCTTCAGACAGCTGAAGTGTTAGCAGCTCAGCATGCCTTTTTGTATCCACACTCACTCCTGAGCTCTTGTTTGGCATCCAGGAAAAATCAGCTCACAGAAACGAATTGAAGGATGGTAAATGCAGAGGATTTTATTGCCAAGGAAAGTGGCTCTCAGCAGGAAGGGCAGCTGGGAAGGAGACGTAGCAGGAAGGTTTCTGGCTGGACTCTTCTCCAAAGTTGCACTGTCAAGCTGTCTCTCTGAAATCAAGCTGCTTCTCTCCAACGTCCAACCGTAGTCTCTGATGCCCAGCTGCTGCTTCTCTTTTGAGGTTCAGCTGCTTCTCTTTTTTGCTAGCTGAGTCTGGGGTTTTTATGGGCACAGGATGGGGGACAGGGGAGGTCATGGGTAATTTTGTAAAAGGCAACATTTGAGTGGGAAAACAGGAATGTATGTTCTCACTTTGGGCTTTGGTTCCAGGCTTGAGGGTGGAGCCGTTGCCAGGGACCTGCCCTCTTTTGCCCAGAATTTCCCTGCCTCCCTTCCCTATCACTCCCACCCCATCACTCCCACCTCAACATCCAGAGTAGCTGGGATTATAGGCGCACATCACCGCATCTGATTAATATTTAAATTTTTTGTAGAGACAGGGTTTTGTCATGTTGCCCAGGCTGGTCTCAAACCCTGGGCTCAAGTGATTTGCCCACCTCAGCCTCCCAAAGTTCTGGGATTACAGGTGTGAGCCAGTGTGCCTGGCCCTAAATAATATTTACATGGGCATTTTGTAATTATTATTTTTTAATAATATAAATGTTTCCTTTTTAATATGAATTTTTCAAGAGTTTTAAAATTGACTGATTATTCATTAAAATTTAATGAAGGACAGGAATTGGCTATTTTTCTGAATGACAAAAATTAGGAAACTTTTTAGAGAGATGATGAATTTATCCTAGAATATATGGAAAGAGTAAATCTTGTTATATAGAACAAGCAGCTTTCCAATCTGAAGGATCTTAGAATAATAAAAATGTTTTTTCTAGTTTCCTTATAATTGTTTCAAAGTAATACTTTAGACCAAAAATTGTATATCTCAGTAGGTGGCCTATATGATAATTAAAAAAGTAAAAGCTAAGTTAATTAAATTTTTAATTATTTTAATTTTTATTAATTTTAATTATCAATCTTCATTGAAGAATTTTGTCCAAAAAATGTGGATAATATGTGTCATAAGGATTAATCAGCATAAAATAGTCCCCAAAGGAAATTAAAGGACTGATTAGATAGTACTAAAATAACAATTATACAAAGTAGAAAGTGGTGTTATAAGAGAAATGTAGATAAAATATTTTAAGAAACTAAAGTAGGAAGATAATGTTTTGAGTTGTGGGAGATCAGGGAAGATTTTTTGGAAAAAGTAACATTTAAGCTAGATCTTAGAGCGACATGACTTAATAGAAAAGTAGGCAAAAAATATGAATAACCCTTTCAGATTACAGGCAATACAAATTATGATAAATATAAAAAAATTCTTACTTCACTAGTAATCAAGTAATTGAATTAAACAATTGGATAACATTTTTTCTTCAGCAGACTGGCAAAACATAAGATGTTAACAAGGGTTTTGAGGGTACAGGGAAGAGGGTAGGCTCAAACTATGCTGGTATAAATGTATAACCAAGATCTCCTTTGGGGTACAATTGTTATATAGTCTACATTCTGTAAAAACTAAACACATATGTTTGCCTTTCCACTTTTGGAAATACATGGTAGATAATCACGCAAGAATGTCAATTGCAGTATTGTGTTGTAATTTTAAAAAGTACTCTAAATATTCATCAATATATAACTACAAATAAAAATAGTTGGACTATCATGCAGACTACAATGCCTCTATTGTGGCATAATAGTTAATAATACAATCTCTGAGAGCAGAATATCTGGATTTGAATAATTTGCTCTCCCTCTAAATGACCTTGAGCAAAGTACTTACAATCTTTTTTCTCTTCTGTAAAATGGAGATAACAGCATTGCCAATTTATTAGCTTGTCATGATGATTAAATGAGATAATCCATATATCACACCAAATACCCACTACGTAATAAGCAACTAATTAAATTTGACTAATATTAATAATTTCATTATTATTCATCTTAATATCATGGCATGACTTCTAAGGTATATTATTAGATAGAAAAAGAGAAGTTTTAAACTGAGCCATAGTTTAGAACTTGACTTAAAGCAGACTCACAAAGCAAATGCTCATATCTAGGACAGGTAAATCTACACGTGTTTATACACACATTCACTGTATTTGGGGAAAATACACACCAAACTGGAAACACTGGTTGTCTCTGAAGAAGAGACAGGGCTTTGGCAATATTCAAATTAGGCTTTAACTGTTTCTGAAAGTTTCAGTTCTCTATAAGGAGAAGGTATGACTTATGTAATTTTTAAAAATTACATATTAAGTACTAAATGACTGAAGCTTCTTAGAATTGATGGGGGCAGGCATCACATGGGCAGCAAGGCATTCACATAATGGAGAATCATGGTCTCCTGTAGATGTCTAGGCGTGATAAAATTAACTACCTTTTAGGTGGTGTAGTTTCCTGGTTGAGCTGATAATTATTAAGTTAATGATTAGTAGGTTATTTCTCAACACCGAAGAGACTATTAGTGTTTCAAAGTTTTCACTGTAATTCATTTGTAAAACCATTCAACCTACCTCCAGTACAACTCAGTAATCTGGTGACAAGAGAGTATTCTTGCTCACTTTATTTACTCTTCAGTGATCTAATGCCAATAATGCCAGCCTATAGAAACAACAGCCAATTATAACAAAAAGCACATTAAAAAGTCAAATATAGCTGGGTAATAGACATAAAAATACCTTATTAACATTTTTATACCACTCTCAACTGAAATAAACAGACCACTCTCGATTTTAGCATCTGGTTCCAAACAATTCTTGTTTGGGTGATAACTTTTTAAAAACAAATGCTGGGCATCTTTCATCGACTTTTCATCAAGTAACAGCTGTTCCTTTAGAACAAAATGTATGCATGTTGGAAGTGTGACTGATGCTCACTTCTGTTTTGTTCTGTGTGAGAAAGCTTTATGTTGGGTGCAATTCAGAAAACAAATGGTTTCAAATCTTTTGAATAGATGCCATAGCACAGTTTAAATGCAGCTTCTTCTGATTTTTAGAATAATTTCAGCCACAATTTTTACATTCAATTTATAACTATACTAAGACATTCTCCTTCAGAACAAAGGCATTTCTGTTTTCATGTGCTCTTGGGCATCTTCAGGTCATTCATTATATCAATCATTTATCTTCATAAAGTGTTTGGCTATGAACAATTACTTACTACACCAAAGCATGAAAGAAATAGATATAGCTCATCTGCTCTTGAATGCATTTCTACAGATTCCCTTAGGATAATTCCTGTTTCAACTTAAGCTATTAATTTTTTTGCTGAACTCAAATCACTTCATCTGCTGAAACATGTGGAGACAAATAACCACAGACGTTTGCATGAAGGTTCAGGCGTATTTAAGGGCAGCTTAATTATAAGACACTATGAAATTCTCCTAATTAATTTGGAGCTAAATATTCTACGTCAAATATTTTACAAAACTTAAAGAAATATTTACTTTTCACATGATTATGATTTTGATACTAGGTTAAAAATGACTTATATTGGCATTTTTTAAACAGTTTAAGACAAATAATGTTTTTGATACTGTTTATTGTAACATATGAAAAGTCTTTATATTTATGCAGATATACTCTATTTTATCATCTGTTCATTTCATGTTGCATTTGCATGCACTCCTGAATTACTTGTTACTAAAACATACAGAACAGACAGAAAGTTAAAATTGGTTAATTTCTATCTAATCTGGATAAGATAAACACAATGAGTGAAATAAATCATTATGTCAAATAACAAAAACCTCATGCATAGAAACTTCAACATTTCTGAATAACAAAAAGTATAACATTATGTAGGGCAAGGTGCCACTTTTGTATCAACTAGAAATAAGCCCTGAATCTGAATGATGAAATTTTAATAGTAACTGTTGACCACAGGGCAGAGTTTACTCTCTTGGTCAGATGCTTTTGTGAATGACACAAACTGTGTGTCCAGATCACTTTTCCCTATAATCACCTCAAATTACTTGACTTTTTGATCTCTTCCTTTTTTCTGTCTCTTTTTTGTCCACAACAGATATTCCAAATATCCACCGAGTTTTCAAATACTCCAGTCCATATTTGGTCTTCCCATTCCTAGCAGAAGTACTTTGTCTTCTACTTCCCAGAATAATGTTAATTCTCTTATTTCAGACTTGCTTGCTTTAATTTGTATTTGTTCTTGGCTTTTTTTCGTTCCATCTCACAGGATAAGAGGGCATCTCTTCTTCCATATTCATAAATACGTTGCCAACAGGAATTTGTTGTTATTTACACTTTCTTCTCCTAGACATTTTAATTTTACTTACCTTCCCTGAGCACATGGCAAAGTCAAAACACAAGCAGAATGTTACTTATGAATAGAGGCAGATTTATTAAGCCAGGGGTAGGCAAACTATAGCCAATGAGACAAAGCCAGGCTGCCACGGGTTTTTATAAATAAAATTTTATAGGAACTCAGCCACAGACATTCCCTTACATATTGCCTACAGCTGCTTAAGCACTACAAAGGCAAAGTTGCATATTTACAACACAAATAATATGGCCTGCAAGCCTAAAGTATCTACTATCGTGCCCTTTATAGAAAATGTTTATCAGCTTTTGTTCTCTTATCCTAAGTTATGAGGCTTACATTTCCGGCCACCTCATTTGCATTTGAGTTTCCAGTTTTGAGTTTGTAGTTTTGTATTCTTGCTTAAAGAGCCCCAAACCCTGACCTCCAAATTGAATGTGCTGTAGATCCCACAAAATATGGATCCAATCAAGCTGATGCCATGTCATTATCTGTAGCTTTTATTCTTTGCCATCACACACCTTCCTTGAACAGTTAGGCTTCTGCCAAAAATCTTAAATAATCACTGATATGGGTTGGTTCTGTGTCTTCACCCAAATCTCATCTTGTAGCTCCCATAATTTCCACGTGTTATGGGAAGGATCCAGTGGGAGATGTCTGAATCATGAGGGCACGTATGTCCCATGCTGTTCCCGTGATAGTGACTGGATCTCACGAGATCTGATGGTGTTAAAAATGGGAGTTTCTCTGCACAATCTCTTTTTTGCCTGCTGCCATCCATGTAAGATGTAGCTCACTCCTTCTTGCCTTCCACCATGATTATGATGCCTCTCCAGCCATGTGGAACTGTAAGTCCAACAAACCACTTTCTTTCGTAAATTGCCCAGTTGCAGGTATGTTTTTATCAGCAGCATGAAAATGAACTAATACAGTAAATTGTTACCAGTAGAGTGGGGTGCTGGTGGAAACATATCCAAAAATATGGAAGCGAGATTGGAACTGGGTAACAAGCAGAGGTTGGAACAGTTTGGAGGACTCAGAAGAAGACAGGAAAATGTGGCCAAGTTTGGAACTTCCTAGAGACTTGCTGAATGGCTTTGAACAAAATGCTGACAGTGATATGGACAATGAAATCCAGGCTGAAGTGGTCTCAGCTGGTGATAAGGAACTTGTTGGGAACCGGAGTAAAGGTGAATCTTGCTACGTTTTAGCAAAGACACTGGTGGCATTTTGCCCGGCCCTATAGATTTGTAGAACTTTGAACTTGAGAGAGATGATTTAGGGTATCTGGCAGAAGAAATTTCTAAGCAGGAAAGCACTTAAAATGTGAATTCGGTGCTGTTGAAGGCATTCAGTTTTATAAGGGAAGCAGAGCATAAAAATTTGGAAAATTTGCAGCCTGACAATGCAATAGAAAAGAAAATCCCATTTTCTGAGGAGAAATCCAAGCCAGCTACGGACATTTGCATAAGATAATGGGGAAAATGTCTCCAGGACATGCCAAAGGTCTTTACCTCAGCCTCTCCCATCACAGGCACAGAGACCTAGGAGGAAGAAGTGGTTTTGTGGGCTGGGCCCAGGGTTCCTTTGCTGTGTGCAGCCTAGGGACTTCATCCCCTGCATCACAGCAACTCTAGCTATGGCTGAAAGGGGACAACATAGAGCTCAGGCTATGGCTTCAGAGGGTGCAAGCCCCAAGCTTTGGCATCTTCCATGTGGTGTTGAGCCTACGAGTGCACAGAAGTCAAGAATTGAGGTTTGGGAACCTCTGCCTAGATTTCAGAAGATGTATGGAAACGCCTGAATGCCAAGGCAGGAGTTTGCCACATGGGTGGGGTCCTCATGGAGAACCTCTGCTAGGGCAGTGCAGAAGGAAAATGTGGGGAGGGAGCCCCCACACAGAATCCCTACTGGGGCACCACCTAGTGGAGCTGTGAGAAGAGGGCCACCGTCTTCCAGACCCCAGAAGTGTAGATCCACTGACAGCTTGCACTGTGTGCATGGAAAAGCTGCAGACACTTAACACCAGCCCATGAAGGCAGCCAGGAGGGAGACTGTACCCTGCAGAGCCAGAGGGGTGGAACTGCCCAAGACCATGGGTATCCACCTCTTGCCTCAGCGTGACCTAGATGTGAGACATGGAGTCAAAGGAGCTTTAGATTTGACTGCCCTTCTGGATTTCAGAATTGCATGGGGCTTGTAGCCTCTTTGTTTTGGTCAATTTCTCCCATTTGCAATGGCTGCGTTTACCCAATCCCCGTACCCCTGTAACCCCATTGTATCTAGGAAGTAACTAACTTGATTTTAATTTTACAGGTTCATAGGTGGAAGGGACTTGCTTTGTCTCAGATGAAACTTTGGACTGTGGACTTTTGAGTTAATGCTAAAAAGAGTTGACATTTTGGGGGACTGTTGGGAAGGCATGACTGGTTTTGAAACATGCAGATATGAAACTTGGGAGGGGCTGGAGTGAAATGATATGGTTTGGCTCTCTGTCCCCATCCAAATCTCATCTTGTAGCTCCCATAATTTCTATATGTAGTGGGAGGGACCTGATGGGAGAAGACTGAATCATGGGGGCAGGTCTTTCCCATGTTGTTCTCATAATAGTGAATGGGTCTCACAAGATCTAGTGGTGTTAAAAACAGGATTTTCTCTGCACAAGCTCTTTTTTTGCCTGCTGCCACCCACATAAGATGTGTCTTGCTCCTTTTTGTCATGATTGTGAGTCCTCCCCAGCCATGTGGAACTGTATGTCCAATAAACCTTTTTCTTTTGTAAGTTGTCCAGTCATGGGTATGTCTTTATCAGCAGTGTTAAAATGGACTAATACAATCACTCTATCAAATGAGATAATATTTATTCCTTTACCACTGACAACTCTCTCTCTTGGCTCTTCTATTCAATCATGTTACTGATAGACGCTTTGCTTTTTGTTTTTGTTGTTTAACCTGATTGTTATAGCTTATTTTATGAATTTCTGTTCTTCTTTTAATTTTACAACAATTTTACTATTTTTCCTTACATGTTTATAAGTCATATGGAGACTGCTTCTCATCTACCCTGACCCCAGAATATTAAAACTTTTCAGAGTTTCAGGATTAATTCCATTATATGGACATGATTCCTTGAGATAGGAAAAACTGATTGGATTGTGACATTAGACTTATCAGAATCTAAGATCTTACAAAATATAAAGCTTTACTAGTAATTTCATGAACTCAGGTAATCATTAGGCATGGGCAAATCAGAGAATTATTTAGATCTCTTAATCTGATTCTTTAGATCCTTGGTTCTGTCATTAGGTACTCCCTTGCCCAGGCAGATAGATGAGACTTCTAGAGAGGTATGCCGACAATTTATTTACATGGAGATACCTGGCTCAATTATCAAATATCTATTTTTATGCAGATAGTTACATATGTGGTATATGTGACATTTTCCAGGGAGCCCCATAAATCCACAACCTTCTACTTTGTTAACCATAAGCAATTCTAAACGACCAAGTACATTCTGCTAAAAGCATTTCTGTGATAGATAATCACTCTCCTGCTAGCAAAAAAACAAATTGTTTGTCAGGAGCTGTCATTAGTATGTTTATATAAGCAAAATGGGCTTCCTTCCTTCTGTGGATCCTGGCAGGGCATCTCAGTAATCAGAAAGAATCAAAGACCCTTTCCTTCCCAATCTGCTCTGGCCTTGGTCAACATCTTAGTGCCAAATATTGCTGGTGTATTATCATTATTGGCTTACACCATTTTCTGCAGTGTTTCACTTAAGCCAACTAATACTCTGACCTCGATTTGAACCATCCAACAGAGAGTAGGAATTCCCTCCACAAAGCATGTTACTCATTAACATCTTCCTTTACAAGTCTCTTGATGTTCATTCACAAACTCAATTACCTTTTTCCTCCATCAACCTCAATTATTTGCATCATTTTCCATGGGCCTATGGGAGTATTTAATTGAATACGTATTTTTTCTCCTCAAATCAAATTTTCTGAAAAAAATTTGTTTCTATGAACTGTATTTTAGGTATATTCCAGGTTGGTACAAACACTAATTTTCAGGGGTCATTATGTCAAAGAGCCCATCCACACCCCATGGCCTACATATGTCAAAGGATTGTTCTTTATTCATCCACTTTCTATGAATTCCACACACGGGAGATAAACTTCTTTTTCATCCATATTATCAGGGTTGTCAGGGAGCAACACTGAAGGTCACAGTGTTCAGTGAAACCTTGCCATAACTTAGACTAAACACGTTTTTCCCATAATTTTACTTCTTCAAATTCATTCTTTCTTTCTTTTTCTCTTTCTTTCTTTCTTTCTTTCTTTCTTTCTTTCTTTCTTTTTCTTTCTTTCTTTTTCTTTCTTTCTTTCTTTCTTTCTTTCTTTCTTTTTCTTTCTTTCTCTTTCTTTCTTTCTTTCTTTCTTTCTTTCTCCTTTTCTTTCTCTCTCTCTCTTTCTTTCTTTTTCTTTCTTTTTTTTTTTTTTTGACAGGGTTTCACTCTTGTCACCTGGCTGGAGTGCAGTGGCACAATCTCGGCTCACTGCAACCTTCACCTCACAGGTTCAAGCAATTCTCCTGCCTTAGCCTCCCAAGTAGCTGGGATTACAAGCACCTGCCACCATGCCTGGCTAATTTTTGTATTTTTAGTAGAGACGGGGTTTCGCCATATTGACCAGGCTTGTCTTGAACTCCTGACCTCAGGTGATCCACACTCCTCAGCCTACCTAAGTGCTGGGATTTTACAAGTGTGAGCCACTGCGCCCAACGTTGAGCTTGTTTCTTTATGAATTCCTGCAACTCAACATTAAAGACATAATATCCCATAGTGATTAATATATCCAATAGTCCTTCCTGACTAAAGGTACAAAGTTAATCCTAGTGTTGTTAATAAGCATGGAAGTCATTATTTATTCAGTGTCTTTGGTTCAAGCATTGTCTTAAACCAAACTGATTTCCTGCTACAACTGAGTCCTCTAAAAACAGCTTCCTCTAGTGTCCCTATTTGAAGTAGCAAGTCATTTTTATCATAATGATGGGCCTCCTAGAACACTACTTCAATTAGATTTAATATCACATGACCAAATCCTGTAATTCTTTCAAAATGCCTGGCAAAGGGGCCAGTGCTGCTTAACTTGCCACTCATGTAGTTCATATTATGTGCTAATTAAATGTGTCTGGTTTGAAAGCATTGTCTACACCTACAAATAATGTGCTTCATGAAATTCTCAATTAGGTATATCCTAGCACCAGATACCGTTTTATCTGGCTGTGCCATAGGCTTCCCTTAAATGTCCTCTACGTACCTCTTGAGGGAGTTATTTATAATTTTAAAGCATTAAAGGAAACATAAAATCACATTCTCTGAGGCTTTCTAGGTTCTAGTTTTATATTATTTAAATTAATTCCATTTACATTCACACTGATATGTTCAAAGCAACAGACCAGATCAAGCTGTGACATACCAGACAGGCAGCCACTATCTGCTTTCTATCATAACCAGGGAGCTGTCTTAGCAATGTATCATTTTGATTTATGGCCATATAGGGTGCAGAAATTCTATTCTACAGCATCCTCTGCTCTGTACAATTCATTGGTAGTTTCTCTGGAAAAAAATAATCTAGAATGGTAAACAAAGCCTAGAAACTGAGTGATAACTGTAGTCAACTACACACAAGCTGAGTTGTCAGGGGGCACTTTGTCATCTGTTTTATTCAAATTATACAGGTAGAACATCCAAATCAGTAGGAGTCCAATTTTCCTTTTCTGCAGTAAGCAGGCCAAGAGATTTTCACCAACAAAGCCCATTTGTTTGGATGACAATAGCAAAAGATAGTTAAGTATGATATCCTCACTCTGAGCTGTTTGCATGAAAATATTGTAGTGGCTTCCCTCCACGGTAATGTAATCTACTTATAAACACCTTTCCCATCTGCTATGATTTTACCCTATTTCCAAATGCTTCCTCCCAATATCAGGCTGTATAACTCATCATGCATAATGTTTGCCCGCACAATCAATAACAAGAACCTTACTAGCACACCCAAACAAATGTTTGGGTTTTATTTGTTTGTTTGTTTAACTTTTATTTTAAGTTCATGGGTGCATGTGCAGATTTGTTACACAGGTAAACTTGTGTCATGGGGTTTGTTGTCAAACAAATGTTATAAGTGACAGACAAAGGACCTCAGAAGTCTGTCCTCTGCTTGATAATGGAGCTACCTTCACCTTTAGCCCTAATTGGTTACATAGGAAGGAACTTTTGATCCACCACAAATTACCTTTCGGAAAAGGCACAGTCAAATTAAATGACACAAATATCATGTCTTGGGTATTGTATAATCTTCCTCTGGTGCAAGTAAATTTAAAACTGGGTTTGAGACCGCCATTAGAGGCCAAATAAAAGTATTAGAGGTGGGAAAGATATAAAGTTATATATTATTGCATTCTCCTTCACTCCCTCATTACTACCTCTTGATATTAGTAAGGCACAGTGGATTTTGTTATTTATTTCTCATATTAGTCTCAGGACGCAATGGTTTCACTAAATGAACCCTTAATAATTTTTGAGCAAGGGGCCTTGCTTTTCATTTTTCACTGGGTTACAGAAGTTATGTAGCTGGTCCTTCCTGTTGACATTGGCTGTGTCATTCAGTGCAACAGCATGTGTCTTTCAAATGGATTATAGCAAACAGCTGCCACAGGCATATTTTGAGTCAAAATCCTGAGGAGTCTAAATTGGTGGTCCCATTTAACTTTTCCTAAAGGGCTCTAGTTTGGGTATGCCCTAATATCATCTGACCAGTTGGATGGGATCATAAGGGCCTAATGTTATTGCCTGTGCTACCACCTACCACAATACTTTTCATGCTTATTTCTGTTCAGTACCTGCAGTGAGTTAAGTAGTGCTCTTCTGAAATTATTATTCATTCAGAATCTCAGAAGGTGACCTTCTTTAGAAATTTGCACATATAATTAGTTAAGATGAGCTCCTACTAGATTAAGGAGGGTCCTAATTCCAATGACTGGAGGTGTTTTTATAAGAAGAGAGGACACATGGAGAAGACATTGAAAATGAAAGCAGAAATTGGAGTAATAAATCTATAAGTAATAAAGCTCCAAAAATTTGTAGGAGAGAGTAGAACCTAGGCAGGGGCAAGAAAAGATTTTTTTCTGTGGCTTTTCAAGGAAGCGTGACCCTATTGACTCCTTGGCTTCAGACTTCTAGCCTCCAGAACTGTGAAATAATAAATTTCAGTTGTTTTAAGCTACCCAGTCTATGGTAATTTGTTCCAGCAGCCCTAGGAAAGTACTACAATGCTGTATTCACGTTCTGAACTCTTTCCAGTTATTTTGTGAGTATGGGTAGACAAGATTCTTAGAACAGTCTTGACAGTCTCTGAGTTTATTGCTTATTGGTGGGTCCTATGAAAGATAAATTACTTCTCACAGTTTAAGGAATGTCCTAAGTTGATCTGCACTAATTTACAGGATTTAGTTGGAGTTTAAGGAATGTCCTAAGTTGATCTGTACTCATTTCCAGGAATTAATTTGCACCTTGGGCTGTGCCTTAAATTCTAGCTGGATTTGTCAGCCAGCTTCTATTTGTAATATGGGTGACTATGGTCCTTAACTCCTCTCCTAATTTTTGCTCTGAGAAGAAAATTATCATCATACCATGAAAGTAGTAGATGAACTCTATCTTTTAGGTTATTCTTTACCAGATTATGGAAATGTGATAATGAATTTTTTTAAATCCATGATAAGGCAGTAAACATATACTTGTTTCTATTCTGCAAAGCTTAAAATTTTCCTACTTGAAATTAAAAAAAAAAAAAAACTCTTAGGAGGCCCCTGAGATTGGTTTAATGCTCTGTTGTAGCTATCTGGAAATTCTTAATAATTTTTGAGTAAGTATCCATGCATTTTCATTTTATACTCAGCTCTATGAATTATGTAGTTAATCTTGATAACATATCAGAGCCTCTTGTCTACTTTATTTTCTGTACATTCTTCATCATATCAGGTACAGATGAAGCATGCAAATGAACCACCTTGATACTCTACTGTAAATGTCCAGGGGCTACCTACTTATTGACCAGTTAGAACTACAAAAAGGAAGTTAATGTGGGGAGGGGAACTTCCTTCTGAACCATTTTCTTAATTACAACAGTAGTCTCTTATTGCGCCCTTGGAATTCTGCATTGCTTAATATTTACTACTGTGGAGAGCTTGAGCAATTCCAAAGGATCCCATTTGGCATGGCTGATTAAAATTTGGTGAAGAGTGAGCTCAGTCTTCATCCTCTGTGGAAACACAAAGACGACAATGTCCCATTCATATTGAATGACAATTGCAATTTTGTATTTACGTAAAGGTAGCACAAGCAGGTAATATTCTCTCCAACCACACATTTCAACCTGTAACTTCATCTTTACCTTGGTTTCCTCCCTGATGTTCTCTTCATGCACTCCAGATTTCACTTAGAGCATGTATGAGACTCTTTCCTACCTTCCATAAGGCCTACTGTAAATTCTGCTCTACATCCTACCAATGATAAGAAACTTTGAATACCACCCCAGGTAACTTTGTTCAAATTATTATATATATGGCCTCAGATCCATGACTGGGGCTGGAATGAACAGACCTCAGTTCTTTATTTAATTGTTTTCAGATTCTATGGCTTTAATTAAGGCAGTAAACTCAGCCCCCTGTTCAAGTATGTTCTGTTCTATATCACTATCCTCATAATTGGATTTGAACTCTTTCAGCCACAATAAATAAAGCAAATTTTCTACGATTCTTTAAGGGATTGGTGGGGGCTACAGTACTCCTCTCCTCTGATTCAAAAGTTGATAATGTGCTTTTATTTTCTTATTAAAAATTCTATCAAGGCTTACTTTTTAAATCCTAT
Source organism: Homo sapiens (assembly GCF_000001405.40). Lineage (NCBI taxonomy): Eukaryota > Metazoa > Chordata > Mammalia > Primates > Hominidae > Homo > Homo sapiens. The sequence continues at coordinate 63,569,815 of NC_000009.12, forward strand.
TTATATTTTCTTCAAAAGTAAATTAATTCAAGTGAGCTGCCTTTCTATTTTCTCTTCTGATTTTTAATTTCTCCCTGTTGTGCACATGATATAAATGCTTTTTCTCCGTATAATCCCATGTATAGTAACTAAACCTGTATGTTTGTTACTGTTCTCTGAATATATATATTTGGCCCTCAAGGTTATATAAGTCTTGTAAGACAGAGAATCATTAGCTTATCCCATTCACTCTATCTCTTATTATTTGTATCAATAGCATTAACTAAGGTGTTTTCTCTCTGGAAAATATAAAGCCTGTCAACATTTACACTTGTATCATTCCTATCATGTGAAAAGGAGAATCCAATTGGCAATTTGGAGAGGAGTAGTAGCAGTTACCCTTCTCAGTATAGGACTGACAAATCTCACCTTAACAACTGCAGCCGATATGCTGTCACAGTATTTGGAAGTGTTTTCTCAAAAGTTTACAGCCATTTAATGATTAGCCATGACCATGAATAGTCCTTTGCATCAGATAATAATAGAATTGCAACATGTCCTCCATCATTAATTTGAAGAATCCATGCCAATGTTAATTCACCAGTCTTCTGTTAGTGAATACTCTGTTCTTTAATAAAATATAGTTTTCACTCATCACCTGTCCTTGGACTCCGGTTACATAAATAGTTTGTCCAATAATCAATATTTTGAGTCATTTCTAAGGATACGTGAAATTTCTCCAAGAAACCAGGGAGGGATAAGAAGGTTTTCCAGTGAATAAAATGTAATCTCGCAGCTTTTTCTCCCACTATCATCTCCTCCTATTAAAAACTAACCTATTAAAAGGTTAGCTTTTACAGGTATGCTAGCAGGAGTCAGTCAATGGGATTTGCACCCAATTTCCCTTTGTCCATGTACTCCCTAGACCCGTACTCCCAGACTGTAGTCTATGGCCCCCAGATTTCAATGGTAAGACTTATTTCCCTTAACCTGCCTCAAAGATTCCACTACCTCATACCAAAAATGTACAGCCAACTATCCTGAGAACAAATTCTCATATTTTTCCATTATTTCCTTTTGAAAAGGAGCCCAGGTAGAAAAAGAAAACATTCACTATTTTGGTGTGTGGGTCTAAAAGACAATCCTGCTCTCAGTGCCAATCTGAACCCACAAAAAGCATTGAATTGTCAAATCAGACTCAGATTGAAGATTTTGCTCAGTATCATGCTTTCTGAATAATTTCAAAGATAAAATAATCAATGTATGGGTTAAGTGGGGAGAGACCTGGGTCCTTTCATCTTCATTGAATGTGGTCTTGTCCAAGTTTCTAGATTTGGTTTCTAAGTAAAATGTACAGTTGCTTTACTTACTCAGGTGTATTCTCAGTTACAAACCATCTCCTTTTATACTTAGATAGCAACACAGCTAACGTGGCATTTTCTTGGGAATCATCACCCTACATTTATTGATTCCTGGCTTATTTTTCATAAGCAATTTTAGACAACTCCGCATGGTCTGCTAGAAACATTTTATGAAGAATGATTCTTTGGCTACCAAAAACTATTTAGTTTATTTTCTAAGAGACTTGCATTAATATGTTTGCGGAAAAATTAAACCAGAACACCTGACTTCTTTATTTCCCAGGAGTTTTCCTCCACACCTGCCCCCATCAGGGGAGAAAATTGATCAGGAGGTACCACCCCTTTCCACACCATTCTTGAATCTATTCTACAGAACTCTCTCACATGGTCTAGCAATATGTTTAAGGTAGAATGCTTTTTCTATCAATATTTCTTATGTGTTAAATTTGCATTATTATATATTGACTAGAAATTATATATTCCTTCTTAAACATAAATCATAAAGAATCTAAAAACCTAATTTATTTCAACCAATAAATTTCTCTTTAATTCCTGTCCTCAACATTCTTGTCCTCAATATTCCTATTGTTACTGTTACAGTTATGAAATCATCTTAATGAAATCACAGCTAGACCAGTGCATTAATTTAAAACAATAGCATCCTTTTTCTATAAATTAACTTCTTCAAACTTTTCTTCACTGTCGTATAATGATAATTACTCTAAAATGACAATCTGATCATTAAAACTTTAATCATTTACTCTGCCAATTTCATAAATAAATATTTGATTCACAGTTGTTATTTCTCCTTCAAGATACATCAAATAATCCACCTTTACAAAAAGCAATTTACTGTTTCATAAATGTGCTTTATTATGTCACATATTCAGTCTTTTAAACATTTTGTGCCATCCTTGGTCATCAAATAAATTTCTATCTACTAAACACGACTGACTTAGCAAAACTGTAGCCTTAGTTTCATGCATGTCTCCATCAATTTTGGAATTGCTTTTATACCCAAACTGCAGTGGGAGAAAAACACACAACCAAATTGTGCTGATTGTTATCTCTTTAAAACCACAACCTTGAAAAGCAAATGTGCCTTTAATGCGGCCAAACAAGCCCATTTTTCTTTTGTTAGCCATTGCCTTCTTCCTCTTATGTAAGATTAACTTATGGATTCTTTCCTCATTTCACACCCCTCACATACTTTTCTTCAATCTCAATGCCAGCTGATGACCTTGTTTCCTGTGTCAATAAATAAATAAATAGATAGATAAATAACAATCAAGAGGAAATGTATGCAGACTCCCACTACTACATATACTTAACGCCAGTATCTAAAATTACACACTACTCATCCTGCATATTAATAGAGCAGGGTCTTTTCTCTGGTGCTATGGACAAACTGAGCCAGATAATTCTATGTTTGGGATGGGGTGTTGGAAAGGTTGCCTTGTATGTTGCAGGATGTTTAGCAACATCCCTGGCCTCTCCAATTCGATGCTAGTAGTAACTCCATTCACAAGTTGTGACAACAGAAAACATCTCCAAACATTGCCAATTGGCTCCTTGCAGAGTGAAATCTCTCCTTAAAGAAACCCACTGCCAGAAATGAAATGTTTATACACCTACCTCAAGCTTACACCTTTACTTGTTCATCAACTCTTTCTGACTACACAGGCTATAGACAGATACTTTTCAATACTTACCTCTCTTATACATAATCAAATTTTCCTCATTATTGGGTCATTTCATGATCATACAAATAAGCTATTACTTCTGTCATACTAGAAAATAAAAGCAAATAAGCGACCAGTATTCTTCATTTTCCCCATTTTCATTGTCAGATACCACCAGGGAATTTGATCCCTTTTTCACCAAAACTCTTTAAAAGGATAATTTATAGTCACCGTGTCATTTGCTCCTCGCATTTTCTCTTTAATCATTTCACTTCCATACAGATTTTTGCCCCCCAGTACTCTAATTAAACCTGTCCTCCACTTTGTTAATCTTATAGTTATTTTTCTCACCTTACTTGATTTATCAGCAGCATTTGAAGTAGATTATTCTCATAATACTATCTTCATTTGACTCCCTGGTTTTATATTATTTGTATACTTCTCTCTCTCTCTCTTTCTCTCTCTCTCTCTCTTTCTCTCTCTCTCTGTCTCCCTCTCTCTCTCTCTTTTAGTGTTTTCTTCTATTCCTCAGACTCAATGTTGGAATGCTCCAGGCCTCAGTATTTTATTTCCCCCCACCATCATCTTTCTCTGCACTTCTTTCCTTGGTTATCTCATCCAATCTCATAGTTTTACATGCAGTGTAAATGCCAATGACTCCCAAATTTATATTTCCATGCCATATCTCTATCCCAAATTCCACACTCATAAATCCAATTGCATTTTTTACACTTCCACCTGAATGTTGTGATGATAGTGGGTCTATTTTTCCTGAGACCCATTCCTCACTCTGCCCAGTTCAGTTCATAAGACAGAGGGGATGAACACTGTGGATTATGTAGCTCAGATTTTCTGAAAGCTGGCTTCCAGTTAGGCTCAAACAATAGGAGACACATGTAGAAAGATGAAAGGCAGGAACAAGGAGAAATCTAGATATTGTCTCAATTTCTCCCTGTCATCCCTAATAACAGTTGCATTTTTTACAGGCTCCTGCTCCTTTACATAGGCCCACTGTGGTTCCAGCTTCCCCCAAATATCCCTCCCTGCAGCTCCAGTAGTACAGCCTCCTATCCCTGTTCTCCAAGGGAAGGTGATAGTAGCCTCCCACTGTTCCTAAATTGTAGGTTGCCTCACTGTCCCCTGGTTGGCTTTAATTTTTTTAAAGTTATTTCTACCATCAATTACCTGTATCAATTCCCTTTGTTTTAAATTCTCAGTGATTTCAATTTTCCTGGCTAGTTTCTGATTACTTCAGATACCTAATGGAAATCTCAAAGAAAGTATGACTCAGGAGAAATTGCTGATTTCCATCTCCCAGCTACTACCAAACCTGTTTATGCTTATCCATTTCATTTGATGGCAAGTCCTTCCTCTGGTTGCTTAAACTCAAAGACTTTATAATATCTAGAATCTACTACTTCTCACCATGTCTACTGAGGTGTGAATTACTACTGTTTTCCTCTTGGATAAAGTCAATATCTAAAGAGGGGACTTTTCCTAAAAGTGTCCCCTTACAGTCAGTTACCAACACAATATCCACAGTCATCCTTTTTACATAAAAGAGCGTGTCACTTCTCTTCTTAGGACCTGTAGTGACCCTCTCTTTCATTGATGGTAAAATTCTAAGGCAGTGTGAGTTTTAAAATACCCTGTAAATATGTACAATTATTATGTCATTTAAATATAATATATATTTTTAAAAATTAAAAACGTACATCAAGGCCCAAATTACTTCTGTGTGCTCATCGTTAACTCCCCTTCCTCACTCATCTCCAGCCACACTGGTTTCCTTGAACCCCTTCAAACAAGCCAGATATGGGGCTGTCTTGGGCTTTTGCACTGTCTTTTCCTTCTTCCTGGGCTCCCTTCTTTCAGATATCTACATGTTTAATCCCTCACCACCTTTAAATTTTTGCATAAATGCTATCTTTTCCATGATGTTTTCTATGGCCTCCCTACTTAGCATCTCAACCTGTTTCTTGGACCAGCATTAGAAAATGAATATAGAGAGATGAACACAATATATATGGCCCTGCCCTCATAGTCCTAGCAATCTACAGGGACACAAAATAATATGCAAAAAAGTATTTGAATTATCTTCAGCACCTTTCTAAAGAAAAAAAGCTACTTAAAACTTACACTTAGAAGTGCTCAATATGAGTCAATACATTATGTCACCACCTAAAGTAACAAGATGTTAGGCTGCAACTGCTGTATGTTTTGAATGAGACTCATTATACTACGAACTCACATACTTGTTTAATATTATAATAAGACAGAACTAAATTTAAATCATAGTTATACCAAACACTAGCTACTCTGAATCTCTACATCTCAATGTTCTCACCAGCAAAATCAAGCTAATAATAATACTAGCTTCTTAAAGTTATTTAAAAGATAAATGAGCTAAGATATGTAATGCTCATAGCCCATTGAGAAAGGCAAAATATAAGGTATAGTACATAGAAACCACTGACCATTGGTAATTCTGAAACACTACAGGTCAGACAGTTTGAATGAACCATATACTAAAGGTTGGAAAAGTTATTTGATTAAACTCTGCCTTTTTTTTTTCTGGGAAGAACACATAGATTAATCACTTTGTATAATCCCAACCTCTCCCTTCTTGGGAGTGGGGATAGGGGAAACAGTTTTCATCATCTATGATCTTAAGTTTCCTCATGCTCTTTCTCATTGTTAAGACAATACCACTTATTTTAGCTTATTGTTACAATAGTATTTCATTTTTTTCTAACAACTTGGTATTAGTCAAGATGCGATATAATAACAAATGACTCTTGAAATCTTCATGGGTGCCATGGGAAGTTTCAAGAACACAACTTGAAAGTGAATTGCATGACTTTGTTCTGTATTTCATTGACCACTACTCATTCAGTGAGCCTGAAAGTAACTGTGTATATCACTGTTAGTATACTATGCATGCCAGATACCCAAGACTCAAACTTTTCCTTTCCTTTAGATACCACGTACTTAGTCATCAATTTTGGTTCAACCTACTCCACTAAATAGCTTTGACTTCCATTCACTTACCACTTTAGATTAGTGCTATAGACTCCTATTTTACCTCCTTCATATCAATCCCCTTAAAACTCCCAATAGCTTCCATTGTTTCAAACAAAAGCTCAAATTCCTTTAATGTAAAGTGTTATATGAACTGGCACCCTATATACTTTATATCCTAATCTCTCATCTTTCATTTATTTCTTTAACTCCTGACTCATGTAACAAAAATGTATTTATCTCAGCACGTATTTGATCCCTTATTTGTTATGCTCTCCCAAATGTCCCTGTATTTTTCATTGAATAGTAATTGCCACATTTTATTTTATATGCTTGTGTTACCATTTATATATATATTTTCTACAGACTCTGCTTTTAGAAGGCATACACTGGCCAGGCGCAGTGGCTTACACCTGTAATCCCAGGACTTTGGGAGGCTGAGGCGGGCGGATCATGAGGTCAGGAGATCGAGACCATCCTGGCTAACACGGTGAAACTCCATCTCTACTAAAAATACAAAAAATAAGCCGGGCGTGGTGGCGGGCGCCTGTAGTCCCAGCTACTCGGGAGACTGAAGCAGGAGAATGGTGTGAACCCGGGAGGCGGAGCTTGCAGTGAGCCGAGATCGTGCCAATGCACTCTAGCCTGGGTGACAGAGTGAGAATCTGTCTCAAAAAAAAAAAAAAAAGAAGGCATACACTGTGATATTTGCAACATCAAACAAACAAACAAACAAACAAAAAAACTAAAATTGGAAGAATACCCAAAAATAACTCAAAGGAATAATTTTAATTTCAATTAATTGATTATGGCCTTTATCATTTCAAGATTTTTATATGTCTACTTTTATGAACTCTAGGCTAGTTTTTTTCCACTTTTATTTCTACAATCATAGGGCCTATTTTATATTTTCTCTTGCACTTGATTATAGAAGAGATTGAAATGAGTTAGGAAACATGTACTTGAAATCAATAATGGGCACACTTTACTGGATTTCAAAATCTAAAAATATCATAACATAACTTCAGGGAAGAGTAAGAAGTACTGGTGTCATTTTTTTCCTTTTAGTAGATTAGTTGAAGAGGTAAATTGAACATGGACTATGTGTCAGACTTTTTTTTCCAAATTATATTCTTAAATGTATAGTAAAACATATGCTAGAGGCAGTTTTTTAATAACAAACAATATTTGAATTGAGATCCTGAAGAAAAATAAATTAACTGTGCAAAAATGTATTACTAAATATCTGCATTTTCTAGAGATATATCCTTAAGTATGTAGGTATAAAATTACATTCTGAGATATATTTTTAAAATAATTTGGCAAGAAGAGAACAGGGACACCTTAAGCAGAAACAACAAAATTATGATAATTGTTGAATATGTGTGATGGTTGTATGTTAATGTATTGATTATTTTGTGTGGGTATGAAAACATGATAATAAAATCAAATTCCAAAAATTAAAAAAATACCTCTTGCTTTTTTAGCAGCTTATTACATTGTTTATAACAGTGTCTATAGCGCTATGATTGGTCAGAGCCAGAGACTATAACATTTAATAAAACGAGTCTCTCTAGAAGCTCATGGGAGTTCATTTACGGCAGCAAAGACCTATATTAAATGGACTGAATATTTAAGGAGTAATTATGTTGAGTAATGTGTTTATTTATAGTTTTAATTATACATTATCTTTTTTGGTTATCTTTAAAATATATTAAGCTTATGCAAATACGATATGCATCATAACTCAGGATCTATTATCTGAATTGCTTATATACTTATAATAACATAACTTTAAAATAAAGAATCAAACCATATTGCTAGCTTACAGGTTGGATCTTTCTAGAAAATAGTTATTTACCTGAATGTTTATTTTTGTTTTGCATCTTCATCAGTTAAAACCAACAGTTACAATACAAACGAAAGTTAAAAAATAATAATATTATTAATGTGAAATTTCAATGTGCTTAGCAATAAATAATGGGAATAAGAATTATCCAGGATGTACTAAACGCTACAAGAATTATATAAGTCTAATGAACATGATGCTTTTGAACTTAAGTAAATTCTATGTGCTTAACTATTTTTATTGTTTATAGATTTAGGACTTCTGAATGCATTCTTTTTTGCTGTTATGGGGTATTTTGAATTCACCTTAGTAGACTTTTGCTTACAGGACATAAAATTAATTTATTCTATGCATTTTTTCTTCTTTTCCTAAAAATGTGTAAGCTCTGTGATTTCTTGGACTAAAAGATATCTATTTACATAGTGAAAGGCCAGGCCTTATAAAGATCGTGACAGTATTCAATCCTATTCTTGTTTTTTGTTTCAATGTGTTGCTAGTTATCTTATCTCAGTGTATCGTATTTATATAACTGCATATTTGATTAAGATACCTAACCTATGAGACATATTAACATAATGAACACATGTAAGCACACAACCCAATTTAAGCATAAGAACAGTATCAATAATTTTGCAGTTATCTTTCACTCTTTTTCAGCCACACAGAGACAACTATACTCTTAATTTTGTGTTTAGAGTCCTCTATTTTCTTAATAGACAGATTGCACATGGTTAAAGGTCTATCTTTACAACAAGAGAACCTGTGTTTGGATCTTGTTCACCCCGCTTATGTCTCTTTTGAAGTTATGCTTAAGCTTTATCCCTTGTTCCTTTATGGAAATTTGAGTATTTTAGGAAAAGTAAAAAAAAAAAAAAAAAAGAAACTTTAAAGTAGAATGATAAAATCTAGTATTTTTAGATACAGAAGTGAGAAGCTGAATACGGGTAAAGCATGATGGACTACGGGAAGAACGGAATTTCTTGTGTGTGACTGCTCATTCAATAAGCTATATTTTTTAGAGACCTGAACAGGTTATAGCTGTTGGTTATCTACAAGTGGAATTCTCAAACACGAAAATGAAAGCCTGACAAATAAGATGCTAATGCCATTTTCACTTAAAAAATAGAACAAGCAAAAGAGAGAAATAAAAGCACTAGCCCAGTAAGAACATCCTCTATTTGCCTTACTCATAAGCCATTTCAGGGCCATATCTGCAAAACTAGGAAGAAACTGCTAAGTGCTAAAACATTTTAACCAGTCACTTTAAGAAAGGCAGAGGAAGCAAATCACTCTAGTAGATAAAACAGGAGAGACCGAAGTTGCTATAGTTGTAATCTTTTTAAAAATAATCTATTTGTTTTGAAGAAAACCCCAATAGGAAGGTGTTTTCATTTTTAAAGGTATCTCTCTTCAGATACTATTTAATACTCAATGTGCTAATAATGTCAAAAATTGTTAAATGCGTATATATCTGTATTTCAAATAGGATAGTTTATCAAGTCAGGTTTTCCAAGAAGCTGATACTATGCAATTATAAGTCACTCAAAAGGTTATGAGAGGAACATTAGTTAAAGATTAAGAAGAAAAAGCAGATCTAAGTGCAGGGAGTCTTCAGTGATGCAAGCCTGGCTTCTGTCAAAGGAGGGGGAGAAGGAAGAAAGATGAGAATGAAAGAGTCACAGCCTGAAACACAGTTTAGGAAATTTTGGCCCAGACAATAGGAGTCTCCAGTCCAAAGTCTTCTGTTGGAAGGTTATCACAAATCTTAAAAATGGCCTTCATCAATACTCCGAGCATGCTCAGTCATTGGCCAGGAACAGCCAGAGAAAATATGGTCTGAGTGCAAAGATAGTCATACAACCAGAAAAACAGTAGCTGGGGCTGCCTGTCATCCATGCTCACTGAAGCAAGAGTTGTGAGTGGTGACCACATATATCAAATATTTCTATGAAAATAACAAAACAAAACAAAAAAACCCAATCAAGTGAAACTCCAAAATGATAACCTTTAGTGCTTATTAGATGACACAAGTGTTAGGTTGGGTATTTTATTAAACATTTAATCATTATATATGCACATATTTATGGGCATGTGAGCTTAATTTCTGTTTTGAAATTCAGAATGCTTCAATAATAACATTGCATTTTATATAATCTTGATTTTCTTTTTTAAAATCAGCTCAAAAGGAGAAGCTAAAATATTCAGCTTAATTTCACCAGTAGATTTTTAATGTTTTGTAATCATAATGTTTAATTTGTGCTGTTCTTAGAACTTTAATTATGAAGCTAAATTGTACTAATACCCATTAGGTACTTCTTAATTGAAGGCACATCATATGTCTGATGTGGCAGTACTAATTGGTGTAATTAAATTCTAATATGCTTCAGTAGCCTGATTTTTTAAAGTGAATAAAAAGCTGATAGAAATAAGTCAGCTCTTGAAGCTGCATAGTTGTATAATACATACACGTGTTTGCATTTGTAACATGCACATTTATTCAGAACAAATAACTCATTAATTTATTCCAAGACCATTTCACCTGATAACTTGAAATACAGAGTAAAACAAATTGGGCAGGTAAATATACATGTAACTTAAAAAGAAACAGTCATGTACTTTAGGCATAAGGACAATGCTTTTCTTTTTTACAAATTCTAACTTAGGTCAAATTCTCTGAAAGTCACTACCTTTCTTTACTGTGATGTGCTTTCTGTGAAGTTACAACCTATTTGCAAATCACATCACTGGTTTGTCCAAGCAGAGGTAGATGAGAGGTAAGCTCCTGTCCTGCTAAAAGTCTCCTAAAAACAGCAAGAAAATATTTTTACATGTTCAAAAATCCCCATTTATTTATATTCCTAAATTTTCTTTTACTCGGTATATTATAGATAATTTAAAAATAAGTAGAATATTTTTATTATATATGTTTTATTTTTATACTTCTAGTTAAGTTAATAGTGGAACATTATATACCTATTAAATGTTTTAAATTACATGGAATTAAAATATCAAAGTTAATTTTGTTATTATAATTTTTAAATTTCAGAAACCTTCTTTAAAATTCTTACTGTTTTATCTTAAAAAATTCATATAGAAATTGTGGTCAGATATAAACTGTGACTCTGAGCACAAATCCCAATGCTATTGCCAATTTAATTCCAATTTTTGTGTTCACACATGAAATGTAGTTTTTCTTTTATTGAGTTTTAAAAATCTGTAAGATTTACCTATCTGAATATACACTCAAGTCTAGCTTCATGTTCCTGTGACCTGTGTGGTCACACAAGGACCCATGTACATAATGACCTCATACTTGGCCTAATGCTCTGCTGTTGCCATCTTGAAACGCTTAACACTTTGAACGAGGTACAACATCCACTTCATTTTGCACTGGGCCCTGCAAATCACGTGGACAGTCATATATGAGTCCAGTATTTTCCTACCACCAGACATTTTAATGTACTGAAGAGATAAAAAAATACCTAATAATTAGAAGTTTTAAAAGAATATTTTTAAGAGTTGTTGTTTGTTTGTTTGTTTTTTAATCCTAGATGTCTCAAGCTTGCCTTCCATTAGATAATGCAGTAAGGAACCCCCAGTTTACAACACAGGGCAGGCAGGAAGACAACCAACTCAATGGGATCTCTGTCCTGTGCAGTCACCGCCAGCTGAGCCTTCTTTTTCTCCACTAAGGTGGTGACAGCATTAACCCCCATTAAAAGGACAGGTGATCTCTTAGTGGGGATGTCTCCTTTGCTTTCTTCTCAGCCCAGGCCAACAGTCTCTGCTGCTTCTCTTGCTTTGTCTCTGGTCTGTACTTGCCAGCCAGCTTACCCCATTGAGCAGCTGTTTGGTGGTCCAAGGCCCTGGTGAACTGATTAATCACAGAAGGCACTTCTAGCTGCTTATAGAGGATGGCTCTCTGCTGCTGCAACCTAGTATAATGGGGCCATTTGACAAAGCAAGTGAGGTCCCTTTTGGGCTGGATGTTCTGTCCAATGCCAAAATGTCCTGTCCAGTGCCAAATTTCTCAAATGGAAGATTCACCACTTTCATGGTCTCCTGCTTTTTCAAGACAGCAAGGGTGGGCACCACCTTCTTCCCTTTGGCCTTCTTTCCTTTTTGCACCTTGGGTAGCTGGAGAAGAGAATAATAAGATCTTGAGAGAAAAATAAGTTGAAGCCAGAGGTAAAACTGAATATTGGTAATATATTTTTGTTTAGGGTTGCTTTCCATTTTAGAAAGTAATTCAGAGTGTTATTTTTTAAAAATCATATATCAGAGTTCTCTAATAAATTTCAAACTTAAAAGAACATTTAACTTCATAAGAGAAGAGAAATGTTTCATGAACATATTTTAAAGATAGGGAAACTAGAATACAATTTGGAGTAAAACTAATATTTTAAGTAACCCGGAGATAGGACTCATATCTTTTAATAGAACATGCATTTTAACAAGCCAGTGATTTTTCAAAGTTTTCTAAAACACTTTTCTCAAACCATATTTAACCTAGAAGTAGAAACAAATAAAAGACACAAAATTAGAGTTAATTTTATTGTAACTGGGTTGGCTCCAGAGATTATAGTTAGGAAGTGATTACATTAAGCTGTACATATGCAGCATTCTAGCAAATTTCAATGCAGTAGACAAAATCTATAAATAATGTGAAACACATATTAACATGTTAAGCATAATATGCATTCATTGTCTTCAACAGAATAATTCTCTATTAATTTTTTAAATGTAATACAATTTTACTTTAAAAACACTGAAAAATCAACATATTTCATTAAGAAAAAATTATAAATGTTGCAAAATGATGATGAAAATACCTATAGTAATAATTCCCAACTATAACAATTTTGTTTTATCTAATACTGGTCAGCTTTCCATGTGTCCAAGCATTACAGAACTTTTCATTAAGCCTAATCCTCACAAGAACATTGCTTTGAGTGATATTCCAGAGTGGTAGTCCTTTAAGGCATTAGAACGATTTGTGAAATCACTAAAAATACTAGGGGAAGTATTCAAAAAATGACAATAGTGCCATTACTCCTCCTCCTCAAAGAGACTATCAGAACTAAAACTCTTTGCTTCATGTTCCTGTTTACTTCTGTCACTTTCAAGTCACAGAGGTATTATCAGACTTTCATCATTATATGACTCTGCTTTTCCAACAGAATCAATTACCTATCCCTTATCTCACATCTTGATAGTGATAGATATTGAATGCTTATGTTCTGATTAGCAAACTCTTTTTGCATTTTTAATAACAACTTGAACTCCTGATATGTCTGGAAAATATAACCCCTTCAACAGCCCTTTCAATGGGTTGCTACTATTTTGCTCACCCCATCTTCACCTGCCTAATCATGAGGAGGCAGGGTATATACAATTTCAGTTAATTTGTAGTTATCAGTCTATTATAGTTCTTTCCTTCTGAAAACCAACAAGTAAATAAACCAGCAAGCATCACCAATAAACTTTGACAGTTTATGGTTCATAACGTACATCTACACCAAACTTTCCATTCAAATGCTTTTTCAAACCTTTGTTTGGTTTCTTCCTCTATTAAGAAAACTTTTGCTTTTGGCTTTCAAAGACATTCTCTCCATTATAAATTCTGTCGTTATTCTCTATTGTGCTTACCTCAAACTGATAACTCTTTCAAATCTTACCTGGCAGTTTCTTGACCACCATGCAAGTTAATAACATTTCTTCTCTATATTAGACAGCAAATGTTTCTCAATATTAAAAAAAAAAATAAAATATCCTACTCTTTGGTCCTCTCTACCTCCCATTTCATCCAATATCACTTGTTCAAGACCTGAACTCGTACAGGTTTTTAACCTGTTGAAGACTGTCACTCTATGGACTCTACTCTCTTCTCTCTCCTCCATAGCCTTCTCATTGCCTATTTTCCCTACTTGTCCAGGAAATGATGACATGTTTCATCACTATAATTAATCCATTTCAAATGGCCTTTATGCCAAATGATTTTATTATATACTCTTTCTGTGCCGTGCCTTGTTTTCCAAATTTACCACAGTACAAATTTTACAATTAGTTTTCCATTACTGAATTAGTACCAATCTCTGTCTTAAAAAATAAATATAGTAAAAAATGATAATGAATTTATTTCTTCTTATAATACTATCACTGGTGCATGATTAGAATAAATTAATCTTAAGATTATATAAGCATTTCTCCAAATGGTCTTCAAATTCATTGATTTTTTTGTGATTTCAATTTCCATATTTACTGTTCCTGTTGCAATTTTTTCAGATTTTATAAGTATATGTATTAACTCAGAACACATACCTCTTATCACACATATTTTTTCATGTAATTTATCTAAATCTCATAGAAAAGGGTCCATTTGCATTTTCTCTTCTTAGACTCCTGATTTCAAATAATATATTACTTATGAGTATTTTTCTGTGCTGTAGTTATTCATTCTTATAGATATGTAACATAATTCCTTTTTCAAAGGTAAAAATTGAGCTATCTCTTGTTGAGGATTTGTTGATCTCTGTCTAAAGTTTCAAACATAAAGAACTTTAAAAGCAAAATGTAAATTCCTTTCAAGTTTTAGTAAAATTACTTCAAACTTAGTAGCTTAAACAATACAGATTTATTATGTTACAGTTCTGTAAGACAGAAATCTGACTTGATCACACCATGTTAAAACCAAGATACTGCCAGGGTTGGTTTTTTCTTGGGGGGTTCTGTGGGAAGAGTTCGTTTCCTTTGGTTTTCCACAGCCCAGAGGCTGCTTGCATTCCTTTAATCACTGTCCCTTCCTCCATTTTTAAAATGAGGAATGGAGTCAGGGTGACTATGGTTAGCAATATTGTATTGTATATTTCAAAATAGCTAGAAGAGAGGATTTTTGAATTCTCTCACCGTAAAGATATCAAAGATGTATGAAGTGAAGAATATGTTGAATATCCTGATTCAATATTTAAACTATACATACACGTGTTGAAACATCACACTGTATCCCATAAATATGTACAATAATTATGTGTCATAAAACAAGATTTAAATTGTTTTAAAGGGCCAGCAATGGCAGTTTGTGAGTTCCCATCTCATCACTCTAACTTCTTCCGCCTCCTTCCACTTGTAAATGTCCTTCTGATTATTTTGGTCCTATCAGAATAATCCAGAATAACTTTCCTATCTTAATATCAACTGATGAACAACCTTAGTTTAGTCTACAATTTCAATTTTCCTTTGCCATGCAACTAACATATTCACAAATTCTGGGGACTAGAATGTGGACACCCGTTGTATTAGTTTGTCCTCACACTGCTAATAAAGACACAGCTGAGACTGGGTAATTTATAAAAGAAAGAGGTTTAACTGACTTATAGTTCCACATGGCTGGGGAGCCCTCAAAATCATGGTGGAAAGCGAATGAGAAGCAATGTCGCATCCCACGTGGTGGCAGGCAAGAGAGCTTGTGCAGGGGAACTCCCGTTTATAAACCCAGCAGATCTCGTGAAACTTATTTACTACCACAAGAACAGCATGGGATAAACCGTCCCCATGATTACATTATCTCTACCTGACCCCATTCTTCATATGGAATTATTACAATTCAAGGTGAGATTTGGGTGGGGATACAGCCAAATCACATCATTTGTGGAGAGCTGTGATTCTGCCTACCACAAGTAAGATGTACAAAGCATGGAAGGAGCTACAGCCAGAAACAATTATACCATTGGGAATTTCTAGCAGAATAAATTGCAGTTATTAACTGATAAGTTAATAGATTAAGTAAACCTAAATAATTGCCTTCATTAGCAGTGAGGCTTTTGATGGTCCATGTATCACAGATATTTAAACACAAATACATTTTTCTCATTTATTCCAATAACAAAAGTGTTTTTTGGTTTGTTTTGTTTCGTTTTTGAAAGTTTGGTATGAGAGAGAAAGAGATGAGCTGATTTGACTACTCCAGGCTAGAGGATATGTAGCTGAGAGTCTATGGCTGAGTGGAGGAAAAAAAAAAATCACAAGCCCTGTCCAGGATAACAGAGAGAGAAAGCTGTTTCTGTTGAGATTTGATGGCCCCCATCACAGCAAATATGGGCTTCTAGCTAGCCTCAGTTCTTCAGATAACTGACCTTCCTTCCTTCCTCCCTCTTGTAATAGTCTTTGTGTATTAGAAGTACCTTGAAATGCTGGGTCAGAAAATGTGGCACAAAAGAGAAAAGCTTGCTCACTCCACATCTTGACCTGATCATTTCCTGAACATGATTGAGGTAGATGACTCTTTGCTCCTCTTTGGCTGACCTGCAGGAATAACACTGGGAATAAGCAAATCTCCTTTGGACTCCAGAGGGTGGTGGTCAGGAAGTGGGCCATTGAGAACCTAGGTGGAAATGCAGGTCAGATTATTGGAGTAGGTTGCTTTATAATGTTAAAATATTTATACACATGTCATGTGGGCCTCTATTTCCACTCTTATCTTAGAGCCCATACGTATTATGGAGGGTCTAGCAGTGTTTCTGGAGTTTTGGATACTATACCTTTTTCAAGATAAAGTAAAAAACATTTATGGATAATTTAATTGTTCCCTATGTAGATTCCAGTACCAAATTCCTTTCTTAGACACTGTTTCTAGTATAACATGTTAATATGTGACCCCTGCTTCACTTACAGATTTTTAGAGATCTATCCCAGGTTACTTAATTCAACTCCAAGACATACTTTTCTTTTAAATGCAGTGAATAAAGGGTCAGTTACTTAGTCACTCTGGTTTTATTTAATCCTACTGTCATCTGACAATATGGTACTGATACTATTTCCTATTTCTAGATGGTTGCTAGAAATATACTGTAATATTTATTCTTGATATATGTTTGTTACTTTAACGGGAATACATAGGCTATAAATAGTCCCCTTGCCTCTCACAAGTTAGACAGTCCTGCCCAGAATGCTCTGCTGAAGAGTTGTAGCAGATCACCCTGTTCCTCCTTAACCTCTCTGTTCCTCATATGCTCACCTGTAAAATAGTGATCATAGTAACACCCATCTTGTGATGATGTAGAGAGGATTAAAGAAGCGAATTAGGGGAGGACAGTCATGGTGGCTTATGCCTGTAATTCCAGCACTTTGGGAGGTGAATCACTTGAAGTCAGGAGTTCGAGACCAGCCTGGCCAACATGGTGAAACCCACTTCTACTAAAACAAACAAACAAACAAACAAACAAAAAACACAAAAATTAACTGGGCATTGTGGCAGTTGCTTCTAATCCCAGCTACTTGGTTGGCTGAGGCAGGAGAATCCGTTGGACCCAGGAGGCGGAGGTTGCAGTGAGCCGAGATCACACGACTGCACTCCAGCTTGGGTAACAGAGCAAGGTTTTGTCTCAAAAAAAAAAAAAAAAAAGAAACCAATTAGGGTGGAAACACTTAGAACAGGGTGTTCATAGGTTGTCACCCTCTTGAAGCAATTGTTGGACACTATTTTAAAAATGTTTTACTTCTGAGTGAAACGTTGCATTTTATTTTACTAGAAGATTCTTATGTAGTTTAAGTACATTTTACAATATTTTCAAAGAGCGTGAGCAAAATATTTAGGAAAGATGAGACCATATTTCTATTATTTATGACATTGCCACAAAAAAAAATCAGGTAGATGAATTTGTAATAAGTTTTTGTACCAATTTCATATCTAAAATTTCAAAGAATTTTATTGCAACAAACTCTTTCTTACCATTAACTCAAAAAAATTCTGTTTTAAATTGACTTCATTCCATAAGTCTCTATACTACTAATTTGGCCAGAAGTTATTTTCAATCCTAATTGGGAACAACAAATATCCACATGATATCCTTTCAATTTATGATGTTGAAGAAAGTTGAATTGTAATAATTTGAGTGTGCAGTCAAAGCAATTTTCAATACTGTGTATCACTGTAGAAACAAGGGAGAATGTCTTGGTTAACTATTTAAGTGGCTTGAGTATGGCAATTAAAATTTCATCTAAGCTCATTTTGATGAATCTTGTAAGGTGACATTTATTTCTTATGCTCTGAACATCGTAAGTTCTGTTGATTTTTATGGGAAGTTTTCAAGGGCATTTTCAGAGATCTATGACAAAATGACATTATTTGAGGAAAAAAGAGAAGAAATAGCTCGAAGTTTAAAGCATTATGGTATTCCCTAAGCCCAAAATTTTCTCCCTTTAAAAAAACAAATGAAATGCAAAATAGACAAACAAACAACCCATCAAAAATACCTTGAATCACTGTTGGTGGGAATGAAAATTAGTTCGACCATTGTGGAAGACAGTGTGGAGATTCCTCATGGATCTAGAATCAGAAATCCCATGACCCAGTAGTCACATTACTTGGTATATACCCAAAGGAATATAAATCATTCTATTATGAAGACACATGCACACATATGTTTATTGCAGCACTATTTATTATAGCAAAGACATGGAACCAACCCAAATGCCCATCAGTGATAGACTAGATAAAGAAAATGTGGTACGTATACACCATGGAATACTATGCAGCCATATAAAGAACTAGATCATATCCTTTGTAGGAACATGGAAACCACCATCCTCATCAAACTAACACAGGAACAGAAAACCAAACACCGCATGTTCTCACTCACAAGTGAGAGTTGATCAACGAGAACACATTGACACAGGGAGGGGAACAACACACAGTGGGGCCTGTTGGGGCGTGGGGGGAAAGGGGAGGGAGAGCATTAGGACTGATACCTAATGCATGCAGCTTAAAACCTAGATGATGGTTTGATAGGGGCAGCAAACCACCATGGCACATGTATACCTATGTAACAAACCTGCAAATTCTGCATATGTATCCCAGAAATTAAAGTAAAATAAAATAAAATAATAAAAACAACAACAAAATGTACCTTGAATCTCCAAAATAAGTTAAGACAAATAGTTAAAATTGAGCATGCTTTTATTAGAAGAAGAAAATATCATTGAAAATATAACAGATAATTTATAGATGGGAACATACGTAAAAACGTATAAGTACTTAGATCTGCTAGATAAAGTGAGTCCCAAATGATAAGGTTACAAAAATAATGTTTTTTTGTAGAATATGTGTTTTCAATGAGAAAGTGTTGCAAAAGTCAGTCATACAGATTGGTAACTTTTATGTTTATTTTTCAAAAGCAGCTCAAAATAGTTCTTTAGATTCTGTAACACCATGGTGTCCTAATTTTGCTCCTAAAATTTTGTCACAAAATTTTAAATTCACTTGCAAATTGATCTTCATTTAATCTTCCTCTAGGTGTGTAAGCTAAATCAGAGATCTGCATGAACTGCTTATTACTCTTTCGTGCTATACATTCTCCCTAGGTAATTTTGATCACTGCAATCTTTTCCATCATCATTTCTACTTGAAGACTAACTAATATAGGTAGAACAAATTTCAACTTCTAGACCTATATGCTTTCCAGATATCTCAAATAAAAGATAAAATTTGGGGAGATATACCATGTTCATGATTTTGAAATAGTCAAGACTGTGTGATATTGTCCTAAAGAAAGACTAAATAGATCAACAGAACAGAATAGAAAATACAAAAACAGATTTACACATATAGTTAATATCTTTTTTTAAAATAGCAAATCAATTCATTAGGGAAAGTATCAGCTTTGAAGAAATGGAAGAGTTTTCAAAGCAAGAAATGTAAAACAGTTGGGTATTTATAAGCAATAGAAAAACAAATTTGATTCATAGCTTGCAAAATATATAAACATTAATAAAAAGCCAACCTGAATGTATTGAAATCCTAGATATAAACATAAGATAAATCTTTGTGACCTTAGTTGAAACAAATAAGTGCTGTATATGACATTAAACATTTAATTTGTAAAATAAAATATTAACTTGAACTTCTTCAAAAGTGAAAATTTTTACTCTTTTTTAAAAATTATTATACTTTAAGTTCTGGGAAACATGTGCAGAACGTGTAGGTTTGTTACATAGGTATACACATGCCATGGTGGTTTGCTGCACCCTTCGACCCATCATCTATTTTAGGCATTTCTCCTAATGCTATCCCTCCCCAAGCCCCCCACCCCCTGACAGGCCCCAGTGTGTGATGTTCCCTTCCCTGCGTCCATGTGTTCTCATTTTTCAGCTCCCAATTATGAGTGAGAACATGCGGTGTTTGGTTTTCTGTTCCTGTTTAGTTTGCTGAGAATGATCGTTTCCAGCTTTATCCATGTCCCTGCAAAGGACATGAACTCATCCTTTTTTATGGCTGCATAGTGTTCCATAGTGTATATGTGCCACATTTTCTTTATCCAGTCTATGATTGATGGGCATTTGTGTTGGTTCCAAGTCTTTGCTATTGTGAACAGTGCTGCAATAAACCTACGTGTGCATGTGTCTTTATACTAGAATGATTCATAATCCTTTTTCTATTTAGTAATGGGATTGCTGGGTCAAACGGTATTTCTAGTTCTAGATCCTTGAAGAATCACCACACTGTCTTCCACAATGGTTGAACTAATTTACACTTTCACCAACAGTGTAAAAGTGTTCCTATTTCTCCACATCCTCTCCAGCATCTGTTGTTTTCTGACTTTTTAATGATCACCGTTCTAACCAGAGTGAGATGGTATCTCATTGTGGTTTTGATTTGCATTTCCCTAATGACGAATGATGATGAGCTTTTTTTTCACATGTTTTTTGGCTGCATAAATGTCTTCTTTTGAGAAGTGTCTGTTCATATCCTTTGACCACTTTTCGGTGGGGTTGTTTGTATTTTTTCTTGCAAATTTGTTTAAGTTCTTTGTAGATTCTGGATATTAGCCCTTTGTCAGATGGATAGATTGCAAAATTTTCTCCCATTCCGTAGGTTGCCTGTTCACTCTGATGATAGTTTATTTTGCTGTGCAGAAGCTCTTTAGTTTAATTAGATCCCATTCATCAATTTTGGCTTTTGTTGCCAATGCATTTGGTGTTGTAGTCATGAAGTTTTTGTCCATGCCTATGTCCTGAATGGTATTGCCTAGGTGTTCTGCTAAGGTTTTTATAGTTTTAGGTCTTATGTTTAAGTCTTTAATCCATCTTGAGTGAATTTTTGTATAAGATGTAAGGAAGGGATCCAGTTTCGGTTTTCCACTACCCAGTTTTCCCAGCACCATTTATTAAATAGGGAATCCTTTCCCCATTGCTTGTTTTTGTCAGGTTTGTCAAAGATCAGATGGCTGTAGATGTGTGGCATTATTTCTTAGGCCTCTGTTCTGTTCTGTTGGTCTACATAACTGTTTTGGTACCAGTACCATGCTGTTTTGGTTACTGTAGCCTTGCAGTATATTTTAAAGTCAGGTCGCATGATACCTCCAGCTTTGTTCTTTTTGCTTAGGATTGTCTTGGCTATACAACCTCTTTTTTGGTTTCGTATGAAATTTAAAGTAGGTTTTTCTAATTCTGTGAAGAAAGTCAATGGTAGCTTGATGGGGATAGCATTGAATTTATAAATTACTTCAGCAGTATGGACATTTTCATATTGATTCTTCCTATCCATGAGCATGGAATAATTTGCCATTTGTTTGTGTCCTCTCCTATTTCCTTGAACAGTGGTTTGTAGTTCTCCTTGAGGAGATCCTTCACATCCCTTGTAAGTTGTTTTCCTAGGTATTTTATTCTCTTTGTAGCAATTGTGAATGGGAGTTCACTAATGATTTGGCTCTCTGTTTGTCTGTTATTGTTGTATAGGAATGTTTGTTATTTTTGCATATTGATTTTGAATCCTGAGATTTTGCTGAAGTTGCTTATCAGCTTAAGGAGATTCTGGGCTGAGATGATGGGGTTTTCTAAATATACAGTCTTGACATCTACAAACAGAGACAATTTGACTTCCTCTCTTCCTGTTTGAATACCCTTTATTGCTTTCTCTTGCCTGATTGCCTTGGCTAGAACTTTCAACACTATGCTTAATAGGAATGGAAAAGGGCATTTAAAAATATTTTTTAAAAAGCTATGAACTGAGAAAACATTTGAATAGCATATATCTTATTGGCCAAGAAAGGTTTATCTCATCAGGACTAATGTTTGTCTTTAGAACTGGCACTTGGCTGGCTTTTGGAAGATAACCTGTGGGCCCTTAATATATTCTGCCTGATGACAGTGTTTCTATACATCTTTGGCTTTAGAGTACAGTGCACAAGTGGTTTTCAGCGTCTGAGGCCTTGGACCATGCTGTGCTCATTTGAACAGATAAGCTTATCCTAACAATATAATTTAGAGTCAATGGCTATATTTGCTCTGACAGATGCTGTAGTCTGAGTAGCTGAAATCACTCATATAGGCACCAACTTACATGACTGATGCCCAGTAAAAGCCCTGGAGACCAAAACTTAAATGAGCTTCTCTGATTGACAACACTTCAATATGCTGTCAAATATTGTTGCTGGGAGAATTACGTGTGTTCTTGTGGGATTCCACTGGGAGAGGACACCTGAAAGCTTGTACCTGATATCTTCTACATTTCTCCCCATGGGCTTTTTTTCTTTGTTGATTTTAATCTGTATCTTTTCATTGTAGTAAACTGTAACTATGAATGTAACATGTTTTCTAAGACCTGTGAATCATTATAGTTAATCTTTGAGCCTAAAAGTGGTCATAAGGAGCCCCAACACACTAATAAATTACTTTCATAAAGAATATATAAAAGCTGTCAAAAATCAAAAATAAAACAAATCACCCAATTTTTTAAAAGGCAAAAGATTGAAAAAGACGTCATGATAGAAGACATGGATGACAAATAAGTATAGCAAAAAATTTTAACATCTGTAGTCATTAAAGAATTGAAAACCACAAAGAAATACTACTGATAGTTATTACAATGTCCAAAGTGAAAAAAAATATTGACCCTACCAGGTATAGGCAACAAAATGGAGGAACTGAAACTTTAATATACTTTTGATTGACAACCACTTTGTAAAACAGATTGACAGCTTCTTTAAAAAGTAAACCTACGCTTACCACTTAATCTAGTCATTTATCTTCTAGATATTTCCCCCTCGAAAAATGAAAAAGAAATTGTTGTATATAAATGTTCATAGGCATTTTCTCTTTAATAGCTAAAACGTGATCATGACCCACATATTCATTAACAAGTAATTGGTGATATATACGTACAGCAAAATTCTGCTCAGCAATAAAAAGGTTCGACTACTGACACATGCAACAACATGAATGAATTTCAAAAGAATTTTGCTGTAAAGCAAAAATGCCAGCCAAAAAATAGTGCACCTTATATGATTCCATTTATATAAAACTTCTGGATGCACCAATATACAATATACAGTAATATACAATACTGAAAGATGGTCAACAGTTGTCTAGCTAAGATGCTTATTAGGAGAGACAATAATTGCAAAAGGGGATTATTAAAAGTAGTCATGAGGAAACATTTTGTGGACTTATATGTTCACTATCTTGACAATAATGATGATCTCACGGATGTATAAATATGTCAGAGCATATCTAATAATTTATCTTACATATTTTTGGCTTTTAATATGTTAATTATAGCTCAATAAATTTCTTGAAAACTCATTGGACTCTACCTGTAATGTGTGTATGTTTAGTTTTAAGTAGAGTGCAGCTAAATTTTTCTCCACCATTACAATTTTCAAACATAATTTCACTTACAGAATAGCATACTGAAAATTAACACGTTTTTATAATTATAAATAAAATAGTAATATATCATTTCTGCTGAAATAAATGCAAACCAATTACAAGGAATTTATTAGTTTTTATTTTAGTTACTTCATATATATTAGCATCTAAGCCTCAAAGATTCACTATGTAATTGTGTAAATTAGTAGTAGGGTTACCTGAATCTGGCTTAATAATGAATTAATCAGTATTTTTCTTTAAACATTTTTTCCTTTATGAATTGTGTCACACTTTTAAAGAGCCCTTCCTACATTACAAGCATATATAAAATATATTCTTATACTATTTTAGAATAATTTCAGAAGTTAGATTGTTTTCTAGTTTTTAGTGTTTTCATTGATACCAAATTTATTTTTACGTACATAAATGTATGATTTTAAGTTAGATTATTTCAAACTGGTATCCCTGCAATTATCTGAACAAAATTTTTAAGTAGTCACATTGACTTTTTTTTTCAAAAGTTAGTTTTAAGCTATTTGATAACATATGGATCTACTTCACTAAAGTTGTATTTTTGTGTGTAATTCTTTAATCCATCTGGAGATATTTTGGTTGTTTTTCGATCAGATAGCCAGTTAAACCAGAAAGAAAAATCTTACCAAAAAGTTTCCACTTAGAAAATTTAATAGCCAAAAAAACTAATATATGCAAGAATGAACAAAAACATATTGATAAAAGTTATACATCATATTTTTATTGAAATATTTCATAATGAAATGTTTCACATGGTTAAAGAACTACAAATTCATCCAATGTAAATAAAAACTTCATGGGAAATGTATAATATATGAGGGATTATTTGATATCTGAAAAAACTAGATAGAAAATAAATGCTTAAAAACTTCTAGAAGGTAATCCAGTAGAATATTTATCAGCTTAGGCTAACAAATGATATAAACATGATTAAAGAAGAGCTAAACTTGAATAAAAATATTAAGTTGATGACAAGTGTAAAACACCATTCTTCAAAATATGCAATTACAAATAGGAAAGTGCTAATAGGAGAAAAAATAAGATGTTTATAATGCAAAAAGAATTAACATTCAAAACTGTTGATAATATAAAGAAAGATATTATAAGGAAAAGTATTCCAGTAGTAGAGTAGCCTAAATATAAGGAAAGTTGAAGAAAGAAAAGAGGAATCATGAATAGGTTTATCAATCCTGATTCCATCTCACCAGTGATTAGACTGGTAAATAAGAAAATGTGTGATAATACCAAGGGTAATAAAGATATATTTCATTTACATTTACAGTGCTGGTAAACATACACTGTACAACCACTTTGGAGAAAACTTGGAAGTACCTAAAATGTGAAAATGTACAGTTGCTCTTGATCCAGCAAGGGTACCTCTGAGTATATATTGTGGAAAAATTCTCACACATGCATACACAGTGAAACATGTATGAGTGCTTATAGCAGCATTGTTGGGACTTTTTTTAAACCCTAGATTTGACCTATATATCTATCAGTAGAGAATCAAAATATAATTCAAGCTATTGTTATACAGTGGGATATAGTACATCACTGATAATTAATACAAATTAATATTACGAACCACTCAAGTTTGAATCAAATATTAGGACATGGTATAATGAAATTATAAAACTATTTAGAGTTAAAAACAGGCAAAAATGTCACATTTATTTTAGAATTCATAATTGAATAGTAGAAGAAAGTAAAAATGCATAGGAATCATCAACATGAAACACAGGAAAAATAAATGAAACATAGGCAGGTGATTGCCTGCAGAGCAAGAAAGTAGAGTTTATTAAGGAGGGCAGTATGAGAACTATTTAAGATATTTTAGGATAAGAAGCGGTTTTGTGAATTTGAATTCATTAAATAACACTTTCTATTTTGTTTTGTTATTCATCATTTAACATTTTTTAAAAAATATAAAGAATTCTCATAAGTATTTTTAAACTAGAAGACAAATAAGTGGAATGAAACATCTAAATGTCAAATTTTGGTGTGTACTTCCTATTAATTTCTAAGCAGGGACACCTGGCAAACAGAAATAACTCTGAGGACATGTGGGATTTTGAATTTTTGGACACCTCTGTAAAGTTATTTGGCAAGCAATAATAATAGCTACCACTTATTTATCAAGTGTTTACTAATGTACTAAGCATTGCCATATATGGTTTATTACTTCTATCCCATTTAGTATTCAAATCAGTATGATGTCTATTTTTGTTCTGTTTTAAAAATAAAGAAGCTAACATGTCCAAGCCACATATTTAGTAAGTATTGGAACTACATCAAAACAAGAAAGAGACATTTCAATGGTTTATCCTACTGTCTACTTCCTAAAGGAAAATTATAAATTTGCAGTAACTGATCCAAATATATTTCCAGAGTTACTTTAGCTTTCACAGTGTTGGCCAGCACAATGTGTTTTTTGTTTGTTTGTTTGCTTGCTTCCTTATTTTTTAATTGAGAACATTCCCATAGTTGACTATTTCAATATTTAATTCTCCAATCTTGTATTTTTGGTTTATCTTGATAAACATCAAATAAGGTGGAGGCAGTTTACACTGAATAGACTTAAGAAGCTGACCTTTACAAGAAAGTTCAGATGCTTCATTTTACCACAATTTCTCCACTGCTTAGTTTTATTACACCTAGTCCATATCACTCATTTGGGTTACTTGCCTGGCTCATCTATGACAGAAAAGAAGGAAAGGAGAAAGGAAGCAAAAGAGAATAAAGAACCTAAATAAGTGCTATTCATCTATTCAGAGCTGTTTCAAAAAATTAAGTAAATGTTTTCTTCAGTATTCTCAGTCAAATCTTGCTTCATACTTATTATAAATACCCTGAAGGAGTCATACCAGTGTGTTCTCTGTAAATGCCATGAACAACACTTTGTTTTTGTGTAACGGTTTTCATGACTATTGTATTAATAGCACATTTAATAATATTTCAATAGGTCAAAATTATGTCATATGTTTTCTTACAAATTTTTGTCATTTTTTAGAATTAATGCTACAGCCCAGAAAATAAATATTATTATGAAAGCTTGTTTGTCAAAAATTTCAGTAATTTTATATCTTTTTGGTAACATTAGTGGCTTCTATTGTATATATTTACAATGGATATCAATGTTGATATTGAGTTATCCAATCTAATATTCTTAATAGCTCCAGCTTGAACTATGAATGGTAGATGACTATGTTCTGTATGTATACCAATATGAGTATTTTTCCATGTTAAAGATTTTACTAGAATCCTTAAATAAACCATAATCATCTAATATGATTTTCTGCTGGAATTTATATAATTTATTATCATAAAAATATATTGAAATGCTCAGATAAAAATTTTAATTTCTATAAATCTTAATATATAAAAATATGGTCTTCTTCAACAAATTGACATTCCAAATTGGTTTAGAATATCCTTAAATAATTATAGTTTTATTTTCAAATAAGCTACTTTTGCAAATTGTTATCATTTTTAACTTAACTTTTGTGTTTTGTTTTTTGTTTGTATTTATGTCTTCCCCAAATGTCCTCTTTTTTATGCAAATGTAGAGAAGGCAGACACCTAGAATTCCATCCTAGAATTAAGACGTGACAATAAACTTTGATTTTGTAAATGCATTGTATGCTGACCTAATAGAAGATGAAAAGTGGAAAAATTTGCACAATGAGTTCAAGAACTCTGAGGAAAAGTATTCAGTCTAGTTAAGAAAACCTTATTAAGTGGAAATTTCATACCAAACAAGGCTACACAGCTTGGAAAAGCCCTGCACTTAAAATTAACTTCAGCCTGTGATGGGCTGAGGCTCTTGACTCAAGTACAGGCACATGGGCTGGCTATGATTTGGAGAAACATGGTAAGTCATATGAATGTTAGTTGATAACTAATTTTATTGTTCATGTGCGGAGGACATAGGGTCAAATGTGCCCCAAGAAGACCTCGAGAAAATATATGTGGGTCTGGATACAGACCTCATGTGACAAAAAGAAGCAATAACCGGGAAAGACTGATTCTCTCTGCTTATCATTTAGAACAATCAAAATAACTTTGAAATGAAAAAAACTCTAGGGGTTTTGAAATTATTAAACTGGCATGTACATATTAAAAGGGAGCAAATAAGGAATTTACTACTAATAGGGCATGGGGGAAAGCAGACCCAAAGTTCTAATTAATGTTTTAAAATGATGGTATCCATTTGCCGGTTTTAAGATAAGTCCATACTGCTGAAAATTGCTCTATGTTTCTTATCAAATTTATCTATATCAGCATTTATTTTACTTCTAAATTTAATTACAATTTTTAAATTCCATTAAAAAAGTTATCTCACATTTAACTATTTGTTACCTTTCCTTCTCATCTTACAATATTACTTCTCTACCTGTCAAACTACATACAGTCCAGTTCCTATTCCAATTATGGCTATAATTGCGGTACAATTAATCAATTAATTAACAAAGCATAGCAAAAAATCAAAAGAACTTTAAAAAATTATGTATAATTGTGATGAATATGATGTTTTTAAATATGTTCAACTATTTATACTATTTTCCTTCTCAAAGAATCATCAGAATGCTGAACACATAAAATAAACATTGAATAAATTAAAAATAATTTTTCATTCTAAACAATCTAAGTATAGTTCCTATTTAGACTTAACCATAACAACACTTTGAAAAACTTGAAAGAATTCACTGATTTTTTATAAAATTTAAAATTAATACATATTACACAATTTGTAATATGTATTTTTACTTTGAACACGAGGGCATTTTAAATTGAGCTTCTTTGAAATATAATTCACATATAAAAATTTCAGAAAATTTTAAGGACCTTTTTCATTTCTTTTTACTAATGCTTTGATTAGGATTTCAGTCTGCATACGAATTTGTCATGATTTTAGCTGATACTCATTCAGGAAAATATTTTAATAGATCATTACCTTTCCTTGTCTCTTAATGTCATTAGATATGTACATTTTAATCTTAATTTCTAGGACAAATATACATATCTTTTTCTGATTATGTGCCTCTAAGTTTGATAAAAAGTTCTTGATGCAACCAGTGGACTCAACACTTCTCCTTACTTTGCATTTATAATAATAGGCTTATAGCAGTTTTTTTCTCCAAATTAAAGTATAAATATTTAATTTTTACTTTTAAGTTTTAAACATTACTCAATAGTATGTTTATAAAATGACTTCTGGAAAAACATATCTATTTTCTATCATTTATTATGTCGTAATTGAGAGAAGCAAGGACCCAAATTCATTTAATTATAACACATAAAACTGAATAAATATAGATGACAGATATGTGTTCTTTGTTTTTACATATCTGTTGTAAACCATATTACTCAGATTATCTCACTTCTTTCAACTTTTCTAATAAAAGCAATTACCATACCTATGTGGAATGTATTTTAATAGTAATTCGTTTTAATAAAAGTTATATATTTTTAGGAGGTCAAAATAGCAATTTCAATTTATGAAATGTTGACTTTTTAATCTTATTGACATATTTTCTGGAGGCAAATTGTAGAACTATTTGAATAGCAACAGAAATTTCCAGTGGAGAGACAGTCAGATACGAAACTTCCGTGAGAAAACTGTATTTATCAGTGACTGAGAATCCTTGGATTAGGACCTAACTCCCACCTACTTGTTCTTGTAGATACTCTGTCTAAATACAGATATAGATAGATACAGATACAGATACAGATATAGACATAGATACAAGTACAGTTACATAGAAAAATAATATTATAAGATATCCTGAAATATATATAATATGTTAGTTTCTAACATTGTTTTAAAAGTTAGTTGTTTAACCAATCAAAGCAGAAACAACTTAAACAGACTTTACAAAAATTCATCAGATTTAATAAAGTTGTCTATTCGAAGATAGGGACTTTTTTCTTTTTTAAAAATTAAATGAGAAAGCAACTATTGGCAAATTCAAATTCCTTTCTTATCAAAACACATATTTTGAATTTTTATTGTTTAAAACAATATAGAATTTGAATTAATAGCTATCTTAGTAAGGAAATGTCTTTCCTCAAGACTGCAATGTGCTATCTTGCATACAAAATTACCAAACTAACACAGTGGCTGCTGATAAATTTTTACCTAATTATTCAATATGTTTCCCTTGAAAAATGAATGATTAAATGAATTAAACAACAGTTAAACAATTAGATTCAGTATGAATATTATGTGCATACTGTACATACTTTTGTATTTTCAAGGTCAATCATTGCATAGAAAGAAATTAATTTTTTTAAGAAGTTAAAAATATAGTACTTAATCTTGAATAAATTTGTTAATAACTAGGGCACATTAAAATATGCCTCAAAGGTAGTAAAATTACATTTTAACATTTATACAAGAGGTTGTCTAGAATATCACAAAAGAAAAATAACCTAAAAATAAAAACTTTCCCAAAACAAAGACTCAAAAGCAGCCCAAAACGGTTACAACAATAAAAATAATGCCACAATATTTGTTTCTATTTTAATTGAAAAAAGGAAAAGCAGATTTAGTTATTACTCTAAATAGATACTTTATTGTTGATTTTTCTAGATTTAATAGATTCAATAGTTTGAACTTAAAACCGTATTTCTCAATTTTACTCTAATTTTCTAACCTCAAACTTAAAACACATCATTTCCCTCTTTATTTTCCCACCAACCACACACACTAGCCATGTCATTCTATTTGTATTTACCTCATTCCTTTTCACATACTCTTTGTGCGTGATTCTGCTTTACCATCTTTTAGAATATCTTTTCTCAATTTTTCACCTATATCAAATATTGTTTTAATATATAGCATATTAATAGAAAAGCTAAGGTATAGTAAGGCAAACAGATCAGAAGACAATTGCCATTGAAAAGATACTCACAATTTCCAAGAGAAGGGAGCATGTCACGCCAGGGGAGACTACAGGGAAGAACTCAGGTCCATCAGGAAACAGAGAGAGGGAGGAATTCACGAGCAAGACCCTAGACTGTGGTGTTTGCAGGAAGAAACCAAGCAGGGTAAACAAGCTTAGGACCGGCTCGTTTGAATAATTTCAGTGGGCTCTGGGGCATAAGAGCTGTCCCTGGTTCTCTGGTTTTTGGCCCTAGCGTGATTAGGACAGAAGCACAGT
Source organism: Homo sapiens (assembly GCF_000001405.40). NCBI lineage: Eukaryota > Metazoa > Chordata > Mammalia > Primates > Hominidae > Homo > Homo sapiens. The sequence continues at coordinate 63,600,545 of NC_000009.12, forward strand.
GGCCTGGAGTGTGACAGCCCTATAGAGTATTTGTTTGGGAATTGGTTAGTTTGTATTTGTAAAGCCCATCTTCATGAGGAGTTCAGGGGAGACTTCGTAGCCAGAAGCTGAGGCAAGGTGACTCCAGCATACTATCCATCTTCAAGAACAAGATGTGTCTGAATTGCTGTATGTTATAAAGTTTCGATGTCTAATAGAGCAAATCTTTCTTCCTGTTGGTTCTCTTTGATTTAATTTGCTTTTTTTTCTCTCTAAGTACTGTTCTCGGAATAAGCCAATCTGATATGTGTGTCACTATTCCAAGGAATGAGTAGATAACACTTTATTTTTCTGCTTCTTGTGAACATTAATTAGTTCAGTTTTCTGAAATTTTCAATGCTATTGTGATTTTTTAAAATTAACAATGCTACTTTGCTTATTGTGTACTTGTCACCAGAAATGCAAGAGCTAAGATGTCTCTGGAAATGGAATTCCTGGGTCACAGGGTTGGCACATGATCAACATTATTAGATAATGTTAAATTGTTGTACAATGTAATCACATTAATTTGTATGCCAATAGTAGTATATAAAAGTTTGAATTGCCCTACATCCAAACTCACACAAAAATAAATGCAGTCTAAAAATTTATAATGTGATGTATATGAAATTATATTTTGGGCTGGGCACAGTGGTTCGTGCCTGTAATCCCAACACTTTGGGAGGCCAAGGTGGGCGGATCAACAGAGGTGAGGAGTTCAAGACCAGCCTAGCCAACATGGGGAAACCCCGTCTCTACTAAAAATACAAAAATTAGCTGGGCGTGGTGGTGTGTGCCTGTAATCCCAGCTACTTGAGAGGCTGAGGCAGGAGAATAGCTTGAATCCAGGAGGTGGATGTTGCAATGAGCTGGGATCATGCCACTGCACTCCAGCCTGAGTGACAGAGTGAGACTCCCTCTCAAAAAAAAAAAAAAAAAAAAGAAATTGTATTTTGTTGTTTTATAGTTTTAATTTGAATTAATAATAAGCTTTGGTACCATTTCATATATTTTAACTTTTTTATTATTTAAAAAGTCTGCTTATGTATTTTCCTATTTTAATTTTTATGTCTTTTTCTAAATCCTTAACAGAAATTAATTGTATCATGAATTTTAATAGATTGTTATGTACTTGCAAATGTTGCCATGCTGTTTATGATGATTTTTCATTTTGCCAATGGTGATTTAGAAGGAACAGATACTCTTGATATGAGTGGGACCAAACTTACAAATCATCTTGCTCCAGTCAGTTTTTGTGCTGGTTTGAAAATTTTTTTCATACTCTGAGATTCAGGCTAAATTGCTTTTAAAATTTTAAAGCTTTGTGTTTCAAATTTATATTCTTGATGAGATGTATAGAGTGAGAATGAGATACATTGTCTTTTTATTATAAACAATCTTGCTTTAGTAGCTACTGAAGTTTACTTTTGAAATTGTATTTCTTAAATATTTCTGTTAATTATAGAAAATTGATTTTGTATTCTATTTTATATCCATTAACTTTGCTCATTTAGTAATTCTAATAATCCTAGGCATTCTTCACAATGCATTGTAAGATAATGTATACATTTCATAGGATGACAATTTTTAGGTACACTTAATGGTATGGGACTATAGATTATTGGGATTTTCTTTGGTTTAAAATTGGCAAACTATTTTTAAGGGGAAGTTGTTAACAATCACTTTCTACAATATGTGACTCTCTCTTCAAAGAGTAAATCAGAGACAAATCTTTTTTTTCAAATTTCTTTTTTTGAAAATCAATAATAATGACCCTATTTTTTAGTTTGAATGGATTGTCATTAATTTAAAATGCAAATATTTTGGACTAAATGTTTGTGTCCCTCCCACCCCAAATTTAAATTTTGAAGCCCTAATCCCCAGTATTATGGTTTTGGAGATGTGGGCCTTTGGAGGTCAAAAGGTTGAGATGAAACCATGAGGATGGAGTCTTCATGATGGAATTAGTGAATTTATTATAAAAGACACAGAAGAGCACTTTCTTGTACACTTCCTTTGTCTCTGTCTCTCTGTGTGTTTCTCTATCTCTCTTCCCTTTGGGAACACAACAAAAGGTATCTGTGTGACAAGCATGAAGAATACCCTCAGCAGAAACTGACTATGTGTATGCTGATTGTGTACTTCTTAGCCTCCAAACTATGCGGAAACAATTTTGTTGTATAAGACACCAAGTTTATTGCATTTTGTTACGGCAGCCTGAGCAGTCTAACAAGAAAGCAATAAATAGTATAAGTAATGAAGATGAAACTAAATTTATCATCCAAATTCTCACCATAAAGAAATAACCATTTTCAAAATATGTAGAACAAGATTTTACATATTTTCCTAAAGTTTATAGACAGAGATAATTGATAAAGATTTTATACAAACTGACTATTAAGAAATGATTGTATTTAATTATAACAGAAGATAAAAATAATTTTGTATAGAGAAACTGATTAACGTTTATGCATATTTGTTCCTAAAGTACATTCAAAGTTAAGAGAACAGATTATAAAATCATAAGTTAGAGTTCTTATAGTATAGGTTTCTTACAAGAAGGGAAGAAAGCAAAATAAATTTAACACAACTAAAGCAGATCTTGCAGAATGTGATTCATATATGGACATGAGTCAGCTTCCTAAACTTGAATCTCAGTGTTATATAGATGAACCCACTCAGACAGAAACAACATTGAACTAGAACAGAACTCCTTTGACAGGCAATGCACATGTTTTTAGGAGAGCAGACTGTAAGCTTTCTCTGAGCCTCAGAGAGGCAGAAGGTAAGAATGATTCTGGGTTATGCATCCTCAAGTTTTTGTTTAAACTCTCTGAATAAGTACCTCATTCCATTTTGCCGGGGCAAAGTGAGTGGATGGGGAAAGCAGGCCAAGGGCATTATGTGAATGGGTCACTTCAAAGGGAAAAACATATCTGAAACATGGTAGAAGCACCCCATAACTACTTTTTCATGCCTTTGGCCTATTGGACTTAACCATTATAGCAATGATGACTCAAAAACTACACTAAAGCAGTGTTAAGAGGAACATTGATGGTGCTAAATGCATTCATCAGGGGGACCAAAAGTTCTCAAGTTAATGACCTAACATAGCAACTAAGGGAATTAGAAAAAAAGCAACAGAAAAGACCCAACCCCAAAGCTGGTAGAAGAAAAAAAAAAATGAAGTCAGAAAACTGAAAAAAAATTGTTATCTAAAAGTCCACACAAAAGATGAAGCCAAGAGTTTTTTTTAATAAACAATACTGATAGATCATTAGCTAGATTAGCAAAGTAAAAGAGAAGATCCAAATAAGTATAATCAGAAATTATAAAGATTATATTAAAATTGATCCCATGAAAATACAAAAGATATGCAGAGACTATTATGAGCACCTCTCTGCACACAAATCTAGAGGAAATGAATAAATTCCTGGAAACACACAATCTCCCAGGATTGAATCAGGAAGAAAGTGAAAACCTGAACGGACCAATAGGAAGTTTGGAAATGGAATTAGAAATAAAAACCTATGAAATAAAATACAATAAAAGCCCCATAACAGATGGATTCACAGCTGAGTTCTATCAGATGTGCAAGGGAGAAATGATACCAATCCTACTGAAATGTCTCCAAAAAATCAAGGACGAGGGGCTTCTACCTAACTCATACTACAAAGCCAGCATTACCCTGTTACCAAATCTGGCATAGACCACGGAAAAAGGAAACAGAAAACTACAGATCAATATCTCTGATGAAAATACAAGCAAAAATTATCAAACCAAATCCAGCAGCACATCAAAAAGTTCATTCATTATGACAAAGTAGGGTTTATTCCTGGGATATAAAGTTGACTCAACATATGCAAATTGATAAATGTGATTCACCACATAAACAGAATCAAAAACAAAAAACATAGGATCATCTCAATAGATATAGAACAAGCCATCAATAAAATTCAACATTCCAGCCAGGCGCGGTGGCTCACGCCTGTAATCCCAGCACTTCGGGAGGCCGAGACGGGCGGATCATGAGGTCAGGAGATCGAGACCACGGTGAAACCCCGTCTCTACTAAAAATACAAAAAATTAGCCGGCCATGGTGGCGGGCGCCTGTAGTCCCAGCTACTCGGGAGGCTGAGGCAGGAGAATGGCGTGAACCCGGGAGGTGGAGCTTGCAGTGAGCTGAGATCTCGCCACTGCACTCCAGCCTGGGCAACAGAGTGAGACTCTAGCTCAAAAATAAATAAATAAATAAAATTCAACATTCCTTTTATGATAAAAACCCTCAACAGATTAGGCATTAAAGGAACATACCTCAAAATAATAAAACTATCTATGACAAACCCACAGTCGCCATCAAACTGAACAGCAAAAGCTGGAACCACACCCCTGGAGAACTGAGACACGACACGGATGCCCACTTTTACCACTTCTATTCAGCATAGCACTGAAAGTCCTAGTGAGATCAAACAGGCAAGAGAAAGAAACAAAAGCCAACCAAACAGGAAAAGAAATTAATCTCTCTTTGCAAATGCTGTGATTCTACACATAGAAAATCCTAAAGTCTCCATCAGAAGGCTCTTTGAACTGATAAGTGAATTCAGTAAAGTTTCAAGAAATAAAAACATTGTAGGAAAATTAGCATTTTTACGAACCAAAATCATTGCAGCTAATAACCAAATCAAGAACACAATCCAATTTACAATAGCCACAAAGAAAATGAAATACCTAGGAATTCATCCAACCAAAGGGGTCAAAGACCACTACAAGGAGAAGTACAAGACACTGTTGAAAGAAATCAGAGATGACACATAAATGGAAAAATATCCATGCTCATGGATTGGAAGAATCAATATTGTTAAAATGGATATACTGCCTAAAGCAATTTACAGATTCAATGCTATTCCTATCAAAATACCAATGTCATTTTTTAAATAATTAGAATGAAACCTATTATAAAATTCATCTGGAACCACAAAAGAGCTTGAATAGCCAAAGCAATCCTAAGCAAAAAGAAAAGCCAGAGGTATCACATTGCCAGACTTCAAACTGTACTATAAGGCTACAGTGATCAAAACAGCGTGGTACTGATACAAAAACAGACACACAGACCAGTGGAAGAGAATACAGCACCCAGAAGTAAATTTGCCCACCTACAACTATGTGACCTTTGAAGAAGCTGACAAAAACAAGCAATGGAAAAAAAAATCCCTATTCAATAAATTGTGCTGTGGTAACTGGCTAGCCATATACAGAAGATTGAAATTGGACCCCTGCCTCTCAACATAGATGAAAATTAACTCAAGATAGATTAAAGATTTACAAGTAAGACCTAAAACTATAATAATACTAGAAGAAAATCTAAGAAGTACCCTTTTTGATATAGGCTTTGGCAAATGGATGACTGAGTTCCCAAAGCACTTGCAACAAAAACAAAAATTGACAGGTGGGATCGAATTAAACTAAAGAGCTTCTGCCTACCAAAGGAAACTATCAACAGAGTAAACAGACAACTTAAACAATGGGAGAAAATATTTGCAAACTATGCTTCTGATAAAGGTCTAATATCCAGCATCTGTAAGGAATTTAAACAAATCTACAAGAAAAAACCCAAAAAATCCACCTAAAAAATGGGCAAAGGACACGAACAGACATTTCTCAAAAGGTGACGTAACAAGCAGACAAGAAACATTAAAAATTGCTAAACATCACTAATCATCACATAAATTCAAATGCAAAAACCACAGTGAAATACCGTCTCACACCAGTCAGAATGGCAATTACTAAAACTTACAAAAAACAACAGATGTTGAGAAGTCTGTGGAGAAATGGGAACGCTTATACATTTTAGGTGGGAATGCAAACTAGTTCAGCCACTGTGGAGAGCAGTTTGGAGATTCTTCAAACAACTTAAAATAGAACTACCATTTGACCCAGCAATCCCACTATTGAGTATATATACCCAAGGGAAAATAACTTATTTTATCTAAGAGACACATGCACCCGTATGTTCATTGCAGCACTATTCACAATACCAAAGCAATAGAATTAACCTAGGTGTCCATCAATAGAGAATTCGGTAAAGAAAATATGGTATGTATACATCACAAAAAACAATGCAGCCATAAAAATGAACAAAGTCATGTTCTTTGTGGCAACATGAATGGAGCTGGAGACCATTATCCTAAGTGACCTAATAGAAGAACAGAAAGCCACATACCACATCTTCTCACTTATAGATGGTAGCTAAACATTGAATACACATGTTAAGATGGGAACAAGAGACACTGGGGACCACTAGATTGGGGAGGAAAGGTAGGGGTTGTGGGCTGAAGAATTACCTGTTGGGTACTGTGTTTACTGCCTGGGTGGTAGGATCACTGGGAGTCCAAGCCTCAGCATCACACAACTACTCATGTAACAGTCTTTCATTAACCTATAATAAAAGTTGAAATTAATTAAAAAAACAAAACAACTACACTGTTTCATTGCTCTAGATTTCTTTTTGTCTCCATTTAATTATGGAGAGACTTGCAGAGACAGAAATGACTGTCACGTGTTCTTATACACATAAAGCCCTAGAAACAGAAGCCACAACACATCATGCACTGGGGCCATATGGGGAAGTACCAGAGTCAGTGAAGGCAAAAGGAGCAAGACTAAAGCATGAGCCAGAGCATTTAATATGGTTTTCCTTGGAAGGAATGAGTGAGACAGTGTAAGCAGCTGAGCAGGTTTAAGACTGGGTAGTGTGAGTACTTTTTGTGTAATTTAGTCCCTAGTGTTCCAGCACCTGATTCTGGGGTGACGAAAGCAGAGGGATAATGTCCCAGACCACAGGAGCCATATAATAAGAGTCAAGTGAGGGTGTGGATTCTGGATTGATTGGTTTGCATATAAATAACATGATCATAGGCAAGTTGTTTAGTATTTCTAGAAATTAGCTAACCCTAGGAGGAGCACTCTGTCTTGAAACCCATATGGTCTCATGATGTCAAAGCAAAACAAAAACAATAGCCATGATTAATACAGCAAGATGGAATAAGCTATATATTGCCTTAAGGAAGAAGTTACTTGGCTCTCTATGGCTGATCGTCATAACCTGAAAGATTTGTTCTCTTGACTTGAGTTGGACAACTGGGGTTTTATTTCTGAAGCATTTTATAGGAACTACTCATTGTTCTTGTTTTTGTCATAGTAGTCATGATGCTGGCCAATTGCATTCAACACAGTCTTAACTTCCTTTTTATAGCAGCCCTCTCACCAGAAGATTGCCCTTACTACAAAATTGCAAAAAGTTCAAGAACATCTCATAATATGGTTGACAATAGAGACAACTAAACAGTCTCTAAGTCGTGAAGATTTGAATCTCTAAACTTCCCTGAATTGGCTTGGTCAATGCCTCACAAGCTAGTTAATGACAAAATGGGAGGAGGGGTAGCCAGACCATATATAAGAATAGAGTTCTGACCCACATCTTTGTAGCAACCAGCCTGGGAAGCCAAACCACAGCCTCTGCATCAACCAGCCCCAAATGAACAGGATTTAGTTAATGATTGCCAGGTTCCCTATTTTTGCCCCCACTGCCAACTCAGGACCCATCAGGGAAAGTCAAGTATGCTTTCTGACTGATCACATAAGATGCTCCATTTCCTCTTATTTATTTAGTCCATCTTCAGCTTCCCCATACAACCTTAAAGCAGAGCATATCCAAAAGCTTTCCTTTTCCAAGTACAAAACTTTCCTATTCCTCAGCCTTTCTTTGAGTCTCTGCAAAACATATATGATGACAGCTGACTTCCTTGTTATAAAAAGTCTGAAGAAATATAGATTCTCTCTGTTATTATTAGGTGTTATTTATTTCCACAATCTACAAAAAATCTTCAGGCAGGGTACTATTTAAAGGTGCAATATTGAAAAATTCCACATAAAATCAGGAAAAAAGAAATAATGTTCATCTCACTACTATTCTTCTACACATTACTGTAAGCACTAACCATTATAAAAAGAAGAAAAATAAAGGGCATAATGATTGAATAGGAAAAACAAAATTGTCTTTACTTGAAAATGAGATGATTATGGAAAAAAAACTAAGGAATACATTTCAAAAGCTACTAGAACTAAATAATATATATATATATGAAATTTATAGCAAACAAGGTTAATATATAAAAGTGCATGTTGAGTGTTCCTTATCCAGATATCTGAAATCTGAAATGCTCTAAAAGCTGAAACTTTTTGAGAGCTGACGTGATGCTCAAGGAAATGTTCACTTAAGCATTACAGATTTTGGATTTCTGGATTAGCACTACTGAATTTGTAAGTATAATGTAAATATTCTGAAATCTGAAAATAATTTGAAATCTGAAATACCTCTGGTCCCAAGCATTTTTTAACTCACTATATGTGCTCATTTTTTTTTAACAAATACCTATTAAGCAGACACTATGAACAAAAACTGTGCAAACATTGGAAATACGTAAGTAAGCAAGGCAGAAGGGCCTCTTGTATTAAAAATAAACGAATGAGGACACTAGTTAAAGTGGTAAGGACAGATTTTAATCAGTAATAATGATTGCAACAGGGAAAAGAGTGCAGCATGAGTTGAATTCAACTTCAATTTGTATATTGGCAACTGATTGTTTTATTTTATTTCAGATTCTAGGGGTACATCTGAACGTTTGTCACATGGGTATACTGTGTGATGCTGAATATTGGACTTCTAATGATCTCATCGCCCATGTAGTGAACATAAGACCCAATAGACAGTTTTTCAACAGTTGGCCAGCTCCCTCTCTCTTCCCTTTTGGAATCTCCAGTGTTTATGGTTCCCATCTTTGTGTTTTTGGGTACCAAATGTTTACCTCCTACTTATAAGTGAAAACGTGGTATTTAGTTTGCTGTTTTTGCATTAATTCGACAAGCATTTTGGATAAGCAGTTCTTAACCGGTAAAATGTGTTGTTGCATACTAATAATGAATCATTAAAACATAATAATAAATTCTATTCACAATAGAATAATCACAAGCATATAATTCTTAGGAATAAAGGCAACAAAATATGCGTAGGTCTTTTATCTAGAAGCTGAAAAATATTATTGAGAAATTTTAAGAAAAAATAGAAAACGTAGATCTATACATGTTCTTATTGATATGTTATTTATATTAAGATATCCATCCACCTTATATTGATCTACAAATGTATTTCAACTCTGATGAAAATCACATCAGATTTTACTGCAAAATAAAAATAAACAATGTGATGTCAAGATGTATATAAATATGCAGAAATACAAAGGAACATAGGTAACTTAACCAATCTTGGAAAAGAATATAATCAAAGAAGTAACATTAAATTATTTTAAGATTTTTAAAGCTGCATGTTAAAAAATGGAGCATCCATAAATATGTTCATGTTTAACATAGATGATGAATTGATTTTCTATGAAGACAAAGGACAATAGAAAGCACATATTTTTACAACAAATCTGAAGCAACTAGATAAATTTATGAAAATCAAATTAATTTTTTTATTTCTAACTTTTTCTGTTGCCCAGGCTGGAGTGGTGCAATCATAGCTCACTGCAGCCTCGAACTCCTGGGCTCAAGAAATCCTCCTTCTTCAGTCTCCTAATGCACTGGGGTTACAAATGTGAGTCATCATGCTTAGCCTAACGTCAATGTTTATCCCATATCATTTACAAATTTGTGATGAATCCAATTTGAGATGCTCATAAACATAAATATGAAACATAAATATAAAAACTAATACTATAAAGCATATAAGAGAACAATCTTGCATCTTAGGGAGGCAAAATATTACATCTTTAGGGAGGCAAAAATATTTCAGACAAAACAAACAAAAAATGTAGGTTTAAAGGAAAAAATTATATAAATAGGGCTTCCTCAAAATAAGATTTTCTACTCATCAAGAGAAAGCATTGAAAAAAATTAAAAGGCAGGACACAGAATCAGAGGAATTATTTTTAATACATACAAATGACTTAGAAGATCTTAATAAGTAATACTATTCGGTAATAAAACATCTAACAGCCTCTCCCCAGATAGGCATGGGTCTTGAATATCTTACAAAGGGAGATATGCAATGTCACATGAACAGGCACTGGACATCATTATTCATTAGGAATATGCAAATATACATGACAATGACAGCCATTGCACATTCACTAGAAATTATTTAAAGAAATTTTAAAATACTGACAATACCAAAAATTATAGACATGTAGCAACTGGAAGTCTTTTTGTTTCTTAAGAGTGTAAAATGGGGCAAACACTCCAGAGAACACTTAATTATTTTCTTATAAAGTTTAAAATATATTTTTCTTTGACCCAGTAAGTTTTTTCTCTGTTATGTATACAAAAGAAATAATAACTGATGCCACGACAAAGATTTATTCAAAACTTATTAGAACAGTTTTATTCTTAAAACTAAACCTTGAAACAACCCAAACAACCTTCAATAAAGGAATGGATACACGAATTGTATATATTCATACAGTGGACACTACAGTACTCAGAATTAACAACAACAACAACAAATCAGATATTGACGTGTAACAAAATGTCTGGGCCTCTATAAAATATTATATTGAATAAAATAAAAAAGTTGAATATCTATTCTTATTATGTTGGACAAATTAAAAAAAAATTACATGGCATAAAGGTCCATTTATATGACATTCCAGAAGAGGCAAAACTAATCCATGGTTATGAAAATAAGAATGGATTAAAGATTTGATGTGTGAATGAGATTTACGTGGAAAGGCATGAAGGAATTTTTGAGGTGAGGAAAATGCCTGTAGCTTGAATCGGTATTGATTATATGGGTCTTTGTATTTGTCCAAAGTTATTGAATTGTAAACTTTAGATCTGTGCATTTCACAGTTTAAAAAAATTTACCTCACCAGTGAAACTCTGTCTACCTAAAGTCTGCAGAAAGCATAACTCAAGAATTTAACATAAGGTCCCCTAATCACATGAAGGTAAGAAACAGCCATCTTTTAAACATTTAAAAAGTCAGGGGAATAAAAAATCCAGGAGTTTTTTTTTTTTTTTGAATAACTATTAAACTTATGCCAGTGAAAGAAAATAAAATTAATTTTCACAAAAGTTGATATACATGACTGAGGATTAAATCTATATTGATATTGTTGAGATTAAAATACAACGCAATTTTAATAAACATTTAAAACACGGACATGGTGTCCCTAACAATTTGTTGATAGGGGAGAGGATAATATAAAAATTAATTTTATGAATCCCACATAAGTACTTGTTAAAAACATATGCCTCTGTTCTTTTTATTTAGGAATCACTCACAGAAGGCACACATTCTTTGCTTCTGCACTAACTCTGGAATTCAATATTAGAAGGCTCAACTGCCATGAATATAAATCAAATTCATTTGCATCCCCTATATCAGACTAAATGTGTTTGTTTCTCACTATTCTGCTATATTCCTTGTATTAATTTTAATAGAATCAAAACTGAGATATGGAAGAGGATGTTATATATTGAACACCTTTTCTTCCATCTAGCATACCCAATATTTGCCGCATGGGCCAGAAATATAAGAATTAGAAACGCGTCTTTATTTGGGGTCCTTACTTCATTCACAATTCTAGATAGTCTTCTAGTTATGACAAAGTCTAAGAATTTTATTTTTAAATAAATTGTTATCATATTTTTCTGTTACCATTTTTTGGTTGGTTTTCCATGCAGTTTGTGCCTACTTCCAGGAGGAAGACACCTACACACATTTACTCTTCTCTACTTTCTTTACAAATTTGAATATGAAAAAGAGAGCCAGGAATTGCCAAAAGCTGGGTACTCCAAGACCCTAGGCATTCTGTCAAAATCTAACTTGGATGATCATGTAAAGTACTTATCATTTTATTAATATCAGTATGTTCATTCAAATGGTAACAAGATTTTCACTTGATTTCTAAATCACTGATCTTAAGTGAAAAATATCAAAATAGAGGACTTCACAAATATTATCATTTAGAACATCCTCACTTTAAACAATCTAAAGTTATTTTTAATGTTGAATCAATCATACTCTGACCTTCTCCATAGGAAAGGAAAATGTAAATATCCCAGACAGCAGAGAGCAAACTGTCATAAAAATAAAACTGTACTTTCAAATAGCTGTAGTCCACAGCACAGCTCTAACCCAAATTGTCATTTCAACTGCTTCACATTATTAGAAAATACTTACCTTCTAGCTTTGAACACGAAAGAAAAGTACTCTTAGTCTATCAGTTTCCTTAACTAGGAGATTCATGTATTTGTTGGGGTCATATAAAGAAACTGATAGTGCAATTTAATAAGGATAATGCAGAGAGGGTTTGGAGACTCTTTGCAAAGCTGTTGAAGGGATGAGAAAGAACACAAGAGACTGCAGTAACCTTTGGTTAGAGTGATTTTTATCACCCCTAGTTTGAAAGGGCCAGTGACAAAGCAAGTTTACTAACTTTAGGATAAAGTAGACTCATCAGGAAAAGAGCAACCACCTAAGCTTAAGGGACAAAGCCAATCACCCGTGGGAAGCCAGTGTTAAAAATACTTGATCTTGCTCTCTGCTTTCCTGAGAATACAAATCATTCACTTTAACTCATTGAATTCACTCAGCAGTCAGAAGAAAAGGAAGCCTCTTGTTGGAATTCATACTAAGAAGATCAGAAAGTGTAGTGGAAAAGAGAGGACTAGAACTGCAGGTGCAAGTAGAAGTCAGTGTCCAAAAAGAAGTGTATTTGTATTGTTCATTTGACCTCATTTATTTTAGTATGTAAGCGTATGCTTAAAAATATTTCAGCCTTCTTTTTACTATATATGCAATTCATCATTATTTATTGAGAGATTATATATCCATCATTACTTCAATGATCTCATTTTTAGCTTTCCTCTTCTTTATTAATGGATGCAATAACTTCTGGCATTCCCCTGAGAATATTAATTCTACTTATTTGGAAGTACTCTATTTATTGCTCTCTGCTGTCTTTCTTTTGTATTTTATACATCTTTCATTTGCTTTACGTTATTTTAAATCTTACCCTATGCACTTAAAATGATGGCACTTCTCCGAATGACTGTTGATTTTCTTCCTTTCGTTCTTTTTTTCATGTTGTCTACATTTTTTTTCAAGGTGAGTTTCTGCTAGACTGTTATTACTGAGCAATCCTTTGGTGGAGAAGGAGGTTCATGCTGCTACAGGCCACAATTTGCCTCATTTGCAGTCAGATCAGGCTTTTTGTCAGAGAGAGGACATGCCCATTAGGCAATATGTATTCAGATATTTCCAACTGATCGCTGCCTTTTCTTTCTGATTCAAATTCCCATTCTCAATATATTTACCTAATGTATGCCTCCATTTTGCCTTTTTAAGCAAGACTAAAAAATAAATAGCCTGGAAAAAAATTGATTAATTTGGCTAACTTAAATTTAAAGTCTTCACTTCTAGCAAAATAGTTTTACTACATATTTTTTACTAAGAGAAAATACGTAAACTATGTATACCAAAACAAATCTATAAATAATTTAGAAAAATAAAAATATATCAATAGAAAAGTGGGAAAATGTAAAAATAGGTACTTACTGAAAGAATCAAGAGATTAGTTCTAAAGACCTTAATTATTTATTTAAACTAATTTAATTAAAATTTTAAAAATAATTAAATTTTTCAATAATCAATTAAAACAAATTAAACTTAAACAATAGAACCTTTTATTTTGAGACGCAAAAGCATGTATCAAAGACATCCGTAAAGCTTAAATGTATTCAGGTTGTAAAGCTAACCCATGTAAACCAAACTAGGCCAGGAATTAGACTGTATCAGTGCCCCAGACTCCCCAAAGTGTCCCTTCCTAAAAGAAGCTCCTCTCACCCTAAGTTTTATGTATAATTTTTTTGCTGTGCTTCAAAAAGTTATAGCATGTATGCATCTCTGAACAACATACCTTAGTTTTTTTTGGCCTGCTTTGATAATTACTATGAAATCCTCTTTCTGTATTATTTTGTGCCACACTCCTTTTGTTCAACATATGTTTATGAGTGACAGCCCTGTTGTTGCAAGCAGTTGTAATTTATTCATTTTCACTGCTCTATAATATTTGATTGTTTATATAGATGATAATTTTCTATTTTATTCCTTATATACATCTGTGTTATTTTAAAGTTTGGGTGCTTAGGAGCAAAGTCAATATGAAAATACTTGGACATATGCTCTCAGAATTATATGCATAAGTTTATCTACAACATATAACTATCCAAGGAATTTTAGGAGCAAACATATGTGGATATTTATTTAATCACAGACTAACTTTTTTTCAAATCAGTTGTATTAATTTATACTTCTTCCTGTGGTACCTAAGATTTCATAAAATTATACTTTCAATCCATGGGTTTAGCAAAATATTTCAAAGTTTAATAATATCAAATTGACATCTGTAATTTAAGACCACTTTAGATGAAAATTTTTGATATCTATTAAATTTTACAATGTGAATAACTTATACACACAATTTTCCTTAACTCATCATCTGTCTTACGAAATACTAACATATGTGCAAAAAAATGCAATAGGATGTCAATTACAGCTTTTTAAAAATAGTCAAAAGCCCATTAAATAGATTAAATGTCCACCAATAGAGAAATGGCTAAGTAAATATGATATATCTAAGAGTTAAAGAAATGATAAAGATTAACATGTGTTGAATCACTAAGATTTCCAATACATATTAAATTGAAAAATAAAAACACATTATTGTGGTTAAAAATACACAAAGTATTAGATTATCAAATGAGACTCACATGCATCGGAGATCTTATGCAAACTTAACTAATAATTTTATGGATAAAAATTATTGTGAGGTACAGGTGGAGCAAGGTAAGGTCAGATAGCACTGTGAGAATCCCTGGGTCCTTTCCTCCCACATCAGATATGCTTTGAACAAGGATAATAGATGATGATTCTGAGTAAGATGTGCGGTCATCTCACTTACACAGAGGAGATATTTAGATCACAAAATATCTCATTTTGTCTTTAGATGGTCCAGGAAATTATGCCCCATGAGTCAAAGAGATTTAGGTTTTATTATAAACAACTCTAGAAAAGAAATCACAGCACATACATTCTTCTAAAAGCATTCTGTAGGTCAGATATTCCTTCCTGGAAACTTCTTAGTTTGTTTGCCAAGAGGTTAGCCAGTTATATGGTTACCAAAAAACCTGCCTTCTTTGTCTCCAGCATGTTTCTTATTAAAGAATTGCAGAACTATTGTTTGCACATTTACTTTTAAATGGTTTATCAGTAAAATATGTGAGAATACATTTTTAAAATAAACTTATGTGATTGCTTTGGAAAATGTCTGGAAATACACAAACCACACTGATAATAACGGCCTTCTGGGGATGAACAAACACACAATAGATTTACTGGTAATCGTTTGATTTTTTCAAAAGTACTACATTCCTGTATAACTTGCATGATTAAAATGTATTTAATATAATTTCCACCCGTGATAATTTTCTTGTGTATAAATAGGACATTGCTCTTGCTATTAGCAGCTATATACTGTAATATTTATAGTTGAACCACAGGGTTCAGCAGACTTCAGCCCATACACTGAACCTGTCCTATTGCCTGTTTTTGTACAACCTGCAGCTAAGAATGTTTTTATATTTTTTGAATAATACAAAAATATCAACAGAAGAATAATAGTTCGTAACACAAAATTAACAAAATTTAACATTTGTGTCTATGAATAAAGTTGATAATATTGTAGCCACAGCCATTTGTTTGCATATTGTCTACTTTCTTGTTACAACAGGGTTTAGCAGTTGTGACAGAGACTTCTACAATGTTCCCAAAGCCTAAAATATTTACTGTCTTACCCTTTATAGAAATAAATACTTTGCTGACACTGTGACTCATAATAATGTTTGCAACTACTTTTTGAATAAGCTCAAAAGTTTACACACACACAGACACACACTCCTAAAATATTTGTTATATTGCTCTTTATAGAAATAATTTGCTTATCCCTGTGATATATTATAGTGATATATACATATTATACATATGTATATATATGTATATATATTATAGTGATGTATACAACTGATTTTTGAATAAGTTAAAAAATTTAGCTGGGGTGGTGGCTCACACCTGTAATCCCAGCACTTTGGGAGGCTGAGGCGGGCAGATCACCTGAGGTCGGGAGTTCAAGACCAGCCTGACCAATGTGGAGAAACCCAGTCTCTACTAAAAATACAAAATTAGCTGGGTGTGGTGGCACATGCCTGTAATCTCAGCTACTCAGGAGGCTGAGGCAGGAGAATCACTTGAACCTGGGAGGCGGAGGTTACAGTGAGCCGAGATTGCACCATTGCACTCCAGCCTGGGCAACAAGAGCAAAACTCAGTCTCAAAAAAAAAAAAAAAAAACTTTACACACACAAACATGGATTATGGATTGAGTTGCATGCATTTGAATATTAGTTTTGTTATTCTTGCAACTTATTAGGGGGTTTGACACTTTTTCTAAATTACAATTGGGTGAAATTTTTGCAATTGATAAATTGCTAGATAACATAATCTAGCTCCTATTATATGATAACTTTAGATGTTAAATCAATAATAACCTTTATGAAGATCTATGTTTCTAGGAAATAATTACTTCAACAAGAAGGGAAAGTAAAGACAGAAGGTAAAAGAAAATATAAGACAAAATAAAATAAAGATGGGAATTGAATGCCATAGAAGTGTGGAAGTTGGAGGGAAAATTTCTAAAATTATTTGGATAAAAAGGAAGCCATATATTTTACTGAATCTTCTAGATGGGTTTTAATTCCGTATCCTTTCATACTCACGTACTATGCCATTTTTTTCAACTTTTCATTCCACTTGTACTTCCTAACTTATGATGAATTTACCTATATAGAGTCCTTTTATGATTTAGACTAAAATTGTATTTATTTGAAGGTAAGAACGGTCATATACTTCTTAGTTGTTTTCAGAATTGAAAACATGGTTGAGGCCAGGCACAGTGTCTCTCATCTGTAATCCTAGCACTTTGAGAGGCCGAGGCGGGGGGACTACAAGATCAGGAGTTCAATACCAGCCTGACCAACATGGAGAAACATGGTCTCTACTAAAAATACAAAATTAGCTAGGCATGGTAGTGCACACCTGTAATCCCAGCTATTTGGGAGGCTGAGTAAGGAGAATCGCTTGAACCCTGGAGGCAGAGGTTGCAGTGAGCCGAGATCACGCCATTGCACTCCAGCCTGGGCAACAAGAGCAAAACTCATCTCAAAAGAAAAAAAAAAAAGAAAAAAAAGAAAACATGGTTGAAAGTCAATATCCATGTGATAAATTGAGTTAGAAAGCCAATGAGAGCTTAGCTAATATAAAAGTGATGGAATTCACTATCCAAACTTTTCAGAGACTTAGAAAAAATATGGAAAATTAGTGAAAATGTAAGAGAATGAGGCTCGAAATCAAGATAATTAAACTGCAAACTTTAAGAAGGCAGGAAAGATATGCTTTACTTAGTTTGTCTTGTCCAACTAATGGTTAGTTGAATGCCATGCACATAACACATCCCTCTGAGTACTTATTGAATAAATGTAGAATGTCATTCTGGAATAAATTGAGGCAAGAAACTAGAGGGATAGCAGTGTGAAAAGTGAGATTAATTTATTTGGTATAGGGTCAGTAAATTTAAGTGGGCCATTTGAAACAACAAGCTTAAAAGAAAACCAAATAAGCATTTTCAATGCATAGAAATGCAACCATTTTTCTCCTTCTGTACTTTATCCATTCAAACATTGCTTGAAAAAAATATATAACTTTCAGTCTTGCTTTTTTATCTCCACCAAACTCAGATAATTTTGGTCATCGATGACCTTTCTAAGCTAATTCCTATTTTAGAATGCTATGGACGAATGAATCTCAAAAGTTCTTTTAACCAATTTATTTTATTCCATTTCCTAAGGAATAGAAACTTTTTACCTCCAACCCAGGGGAGCTATGAAACAAACTCCCCATTTATTTCCAATCTAAACACATTTGATAAAACAGGCAGAGGAATTTTTTATCAGATCTGTATTTTAAATTTTCATGACTGTTGTTCAAGAGTTTCCATTCTTCTTCATAAATATGTAGAGGCTTAAAATTCTTTTCTGAAAAAATAAACTGCTACTTTAAATGATTTTAACTCATTTTTATAATACCCTTTTTTAATTCTCTGATGATCTCTTGCTGTTTTTCTTTCTCTAGAAATGTTCTAAGAATAAATTAGCTGATATACTAAGAAAGGTTCACAAAATGAGTCCTTCACCTATACAGCACCTCTTCTAAATAACAGAGAGATTACAAATCCAATGCATTTAAACTCTGAGTTGTCTATATGTGTAGTGTTAAAAAATGTAGCTGTCAGTTTTAACAGCTTTTCCCCTGAGATTTCAGTGGCTAACTAATGATCTCTTTTAAGGATTAGGACAATTTCTAGATAGTGAAATGGCAGGAAAACATATCAAATACATATTTTTCCATTATAGTATTCTGAGTACTGTAAAGTCTTACTCAATGTATATCACTTTTAATTTTTAGGATACATAGAAATATTTGCTAGTAGAAATAAATGGCAAGTGTTTACTTGAAGATGGTTTAGAAAGATGCTTTTCTCTTTTAATTTGAATTGCTACTGTAAATGTCATCACATGTATTTCAGTATTGTCTATGCCAACTTTGTACCTGAAAAACAGTATTATGAATTGGGCATTATATTCCATCTTCATAAATTAAAAAAGAAACATAATAACTAGCGAAGTGGAATGAGGAAGGTGTGGGGAGACACAGAATTTTTCAAAAGTAGTAACAAATTCAAGCATGTATTAGCTTAATATATCATAACTTAAATGATTTAAATTAGGTATATGTTTATACCAATAAGTTTTAAATTCTTAATTCTTACCTCATCAAGTACCAACAAAGAATGCCCTTCCATATTAATACACTTTGGGAATTAAGATAAAGTATATGTAATTAAATCATCAAACTCCTTTTGTTGTTTAGCAGGTAGTTTGATATAATAAGAGAAATTGTGTTCTCATTATATATTTGTCACAATGACTGAATGTAAAACCTTAATCAGGCTATCTGACTTCTTTCAGTGACATTACCCTTTTTGCAACCAACACATCAAATTAGTAATATTTATCCTACAAAAATAATGTGAAGATAAATGAGATAAGATATATAATAGTCACAAATACTTATTGAATAAAGCTGTTTTTATTTATATATTTCTATGTACTTACTAGATATGTTCTTATTAAATATTTTATTATGGTATATGTCAAGTCTTTTACTTCTTTTTTTATACTTATTATATTATAGAACTCACCATCCAATAAAATTGTAATACAATTTTCTTGATTTACTAATCCTAGGTGAAAAAAAAAAAAAAAAAAAAAAAAATATATATATATATATATATATATATATATATATATATATATATGTTGTCTTCTGTTTGAATTATGCTTAGTTGATGGCATTTTCAATAATCTCTATGATTCTTCCTTTTCCTGTTTAAATTACTCTCATTCTCATTGTGGCCTAGATTTCTTTTTCCCTAATATTGCCTTCAGAAGGCTAAGTTTCTAAATAATAACAATTTGAGTCTTTACCACTTCTCTCTAGAATCATGATTTAGACTAGGTTATTAGAGTAAACAATATGATTCCAAATTTTTTCTTTTTTTTAATGGGCTAGCATCCAAAAAGCTTAAGAATTCTGGGGGGAAATGACATAATTAAGCTAGATTATTTTAATTTAAATTCAGAATTAAAAATCATTTTCAATAGTTTCTTTGTCTTAATTTAACAAGCTTTTGTTGAAGATTGATTATATTTTGAATTCTATTTTTTCTTTATTTTTAGTGGGCACATAATTATATGTATTTATGGGATACAGAGTGATATTTTGATACATGTATACAATATGAAATAATCTAATCAGAGTAATTAGCATATCTATCACCTTGTACATTTGTCATTTCCTTGTGATGTGAATATTCAGAATTCTCTCTGGTAGGTTTTTAAAAAAATTCACTAAATTATTGTTAACTTAATTCACCCTACAGTGCTACAGAACACTAGAGCTATTCCTCCCTTCTAGCTACAACTTTGTTACAAAGTTAACTTTGCTTACCAACCTCTTTCCATCCTCTTCTTATTCCCATCCTTTCCAGCCTCTGATAACTGCAATTCTACTTGTTACTTTTATAAGCTCATTTTTAGCTCCCACATATAAGTGAGAACATGTGGTTTTTCTCTCTCTGTGCCTGTCTTATTTCACTTAACATAATGTCCTCCAGGCTCATCCACGTTGTAACTAATAACATGATTTCAATTCATTACAAAACTTAAAAGGATACTCAACAGTGCCAAACATTCTATTTTAGTTTCCCAATGCATTCACTCCCACAGCATTCATAACAATAAACTTCTACAAAGTTACCACGTCTTATGCTAAATTGATTAGATCTCCCAATATTAAGTAAATTCTGTCCCTTAGCTCTCCCTCTCATTTTAGTATTATCATTCTCATTAATGAATAATTCCCTTTTTGTTAAAAGTTTACATTGACCTTCCGTTGTCCTTCAGTTATCAACTTACTTTGTATTCTTTCTTTGAAAGAAATCAATCAAACAATAGACAGTCTCCTTCAATATTTCCTGTACTGTCTTCAACCCACTTAGCTGAGTACTTTCTTTTTTCTCTACTTACTCACTTTTTCCCCTGAGTGTTCTCAAGCATTTTCATGGGTTTAAAGGCCAGTTACATGATAGCATCTCAGAATATTTCCAATTTTGGTATCTTCTCTGAGTTAGAGCTTTGCATAGTCATCCACTTACTTAATATCAAATGTGGATTGTTTTATAGACAACTGAAATTCATAATGTTTTAAGTAGAGTTTTGTTATTTTCTCTGCTTCCCAGTTTGTGTGTGTATGCTTGTTTGTTTACTTCAGCTGGTGTTCCCATTGATTTTATCTTATCTAATACACCAAAACCCTATCAGTAGCTCTTTTCTTCAAACTTGCACATATCTTAAATATGTATTTCATTATTTTGAACAAGGTCTCCACCTTCTTGTCCTTTCACTTTAATAGTTTTCTAATTCATTTCCTTGTGTTTATTCTTGTCCCTGTAAAAATTATTCTTGGTTTAAGAGGCAGAGATATATATGTATTATAAACACAGGGAAACAAATTAGATATAAACCAATTACTATAAACCAATGTAATAATAATAATATATATTACATTTTTTTCTATTTTTTTATTTCTTCTTTTTCTTTTTTATTTTTTGTAATGTAAGCAAGATTCTTTCCCTCCTCTGCCTTAAATCCTTTAGTTGCTTGTGGAGTACAATTACAAATCTCCAGGATGCTAAAGCTCTGCTCTGCTGTCTACAGCCACAGGCACCATTCAAGACCCTCACTCCTAATGAGACAGGGCTCTTTCCACTCTTGAAACACAGTTTTTCCCCATGTCAGGGTTTTGCACAAGGTAACATCTTGTCTTTGAAGCTTCATAGTTTGGCTTGTTAATCAAATGGTTCCTTTTCCATATTTAAGTCATCACTTTACATTTCATTTTCTTGGAGAGGTCTTCGCATGACTCCAAGCTATCACCAGTTATGTGCTATCGTAGAACATGGTTTATCCAGAAATAGTGATAACTTTCATCACTATTGATCATTCTTTGGTTTTCTTTACATTTATTTTATATCTTAAACACTGTAATATAAAAGACCTCAGGGATGGACCATGAATTTCATATTTAGCAAAATACTTCAGAAGATCCACACTATCCTTTTTCTTTTTTATTCATTTTATTTTAAAATTTTCATTTTGAACTACTTTAAAGCTTACAAAAATATATTTTAAAAAATCAAGAATTCCTATATATTATTCACCCAGCTTCTTGACTGCTAACACCATATCTAAGAGTACAGTTACTCACATTAGGAAATTGATATGGAATTAGTTACGTACCTACAGACCTTATTTACATATTTTGTTCATGGTTCCACTAATGTTTTTTAACTAGGATCAAAATCAGGGTCACATATTGCATTTATCTGCTACATTTCTTTAGTTTTCTTTACTCGGGTGCGGTGGCTCATGCCTGTAATCCCAGCACTTTGGGAGGCCGAGGCGGGTGGATCACGAGGACAGGAGATGGAGACCATCCTGGCTAAAATGGTGAAACCCCGTCTCTACTAAAAATACAAAAAATTAGCTGGCGTGGTGGTGGGCACCTGTAGTCCCAGCTACTTGGGAGGCTGAGGCAGGAAAATGGCGTGAACCCGGGAGGCGGAGCTTGCAGTGAGCAGAGATCACGCCTCTGCACTCCAGCCTTGGCAGCAGTGCAAGACTCCATCTCAAAAAAAAAAAAAATGTTAAAAAAGAAAATTCAGCTTTTCTTTTTGTCTTTCATGCCCTTGATACTTGTTTTTTGTAGATTATTCTGAAGTTTGATTTTTTTTCTAATATTTCTTCATGGTTAAATTCACATAATATATTTTGGCAAGAATGCCACAATGCGGAGGTTGTCCTTCTCATTGCATCATATCAGGAAGCACATGATATCATTGTGTCCTAATATTGTTGACGTTAACTCTGATCACTTGAATAAGATATTGTCTGCCACATTTCTCCACTTCAAAGTTACCATTTTTAAAATCAGTATTTTGTTGAGAGATACTTGGAGATTATGTAAATATCTTGTTCCTCATAATCGTATCCACTAATTTTAGCAGACTTGTCTGCAACAATTATATGGTATTTGCCAAGAAATGAGAATCTATTTCCACTATTCTTTCTGTATTTATTGATTAGAATTCTACTGTATGGAAAAGCTTTCCTTTGTCCCACTTTTCTTATTTATCCAATTATTTATTTATATTAGTGTGGATTCATGTGTATTTGGTTTAATTAATCTGAATAATCTATTGCCATCATTATTTATTCCCTTGCTCAATTTATCTCAGTTTGGGTCACTGAGAGCCACTTCTAGTTAGCTCCTATGTTCTTTGGCATGTCTCCATCATTAGTTGAGACTTCCTTATATTCTTAACAACAACAGACGTCTCAGACCCATTTTGTTCTTTCTGCCCCATGCACCTAGGATCAGGCATTGATCCAAGGAGCTCTGTATCCTTTTAAAGAAGAAAAAAGTGAATCCAAGATTTGAATGCTAGATGTGCTGATTGCTATTAAAATGTTATTGCTTCTAGTCTTAGTGGTTAAAATTAAGAAATATACACACATTCGGCCGGGCGCTGTGGCTCACACCTGTAATCCCAGCACTTTGGGAGGCCGAGATGGGCGGATTATGAGGTCAGAAGATCGAGACCATCCTGGCTAACACGGTGAAACCCCGTCTCTACTAAAAATACAAAAAAATTAGCTGGGCGTGGTGGCAGGTGCCTGTAGTCCCAGCTACTTGGGAGACTGAGGCAGGAGAATGGCATGAATCCAGGAGGCAGAGCTTGCAGGGAGCCGAGATCGGGCCACTGCACTCCAAGCAGGGCGACAGAGAAAGACTGCATCTCAAAAAAAAAAAAAAAAATATATATATATATATATATATACACATTCACACACAAACATGTGCATCTAGGTCTATTTATATATCTACACATTCTTTTCAATTTCTATCTAACGTAGAAAAAAAGTAAACTTAAGTATATATTGATAGTTTTGATTCTGATTGAACACCATAAGTGTTATTCTAGTCTCCACTGCCCCTCATTTCTAAATTCTTTTTCTAAAACGGAATCACTTAGTTTTGTTTTGGTTAATATACTTAATATAATTATTTGTTTTTTATTTTTATTTTTTTTAATTTCAACTTTTAGATTTGAGGATATATGTCAGGGTTTGTTACAGAGTATACTGCATGATGCTGAGGTTTGGGGTATGACTGGACCCATCATCCAGGTAGTGAGCATAGAACCCAAGAGGTATTTTCTATGGCACTTTACACATTCTAGAAAACTGGTTGTTAATTAGCACAAGCACCTATAATAGTGCCTGATATATTTAGTACTCAAAATATATGTTAAATTAAAAACAAATGTATAAATTAATGGTTGAATATCATAATAATTACTCAAAATGTAACATAATTCCAAAGGAGAAAACTTTTTTCTAAAAGGCTCTCTCAATTGCTCTTTCTGATTTACTATTTTCCCCAAATCTGTAGTTGCTTCATTATTGTTTGGAATTTTGCATTAGTTGTCAATAAACAAAAAATATGGATCATAGCACAGCTCTTTCATTGCTTTCATTTCTTGAGATATATGAATGTATGTGATATCTTTGATGTCCTGTATTTTATCTTTATTGCTTTTTGTTACTTAAGAATATCTAGAAAATAAGATAAATATTAATCATGTCAGAAATTATCAAAGGTTGATTACAATAAAAATTTATCTAATGTGATAACCACTCAAAAACTTCTTTCATCAAAACACAGTATTTTTTAAAAAATAGAGTGCTTCATTTTTATTTCACAGAAAATAATCAAATGATAGCCAGAATATTATGAACTAGAGTCACATAGGATATTCTAATAATACTGCTTGTGAAAGAAGTATTGAGGAGGTCTTAGGACCAAAGAATATTTGTTTAATAGTGTCAGAATTCATTTTAACACCATAAAAAGGATATGTATTTGTTCAATTTTCACTCACTGCACAAAGAATTAGATAAAAGAAGATTTTCAGTAATAGCATTCATTTTGAGTCTTACCAATCCTTTCAGTTTTGGTATAACAAAAAGTCTATTAGCTTTTACTCTGTTGTGTTGAATTTTGATGATTTCTGACAGTCTTCACTGAGATGCTCAAAGAGATGAGACTTGCCAGTCGAATAACTTAAGATCTCATTAAATTTACCAGCAAGATAAAAGCTATTTCTGCCTCTTAACTTTTTGATGTGTTGCCTTTTTCTAATCCTCTTCTCAGGACCTATTTAAAAGACAATAAAAATTTTGTTTTTGTGTGTTGAAAGATTTCTCCATTATCAAGAGAGTAGTCAGTTCTTAACTTTAGAATGATTGCATATATAGATATGAAAAATAAGGAAACAATTATTAAGAAAACTAATCAAATTTTTTACTAACATTTAGTAATTTTAACAAAATTACTGTGCATTGTATTTTGTAGCATTTATGCAGAGGATATACTAACCTGTTTAAATTTTTAGACAGAAATAGTAGAAAATAGAACATCGTCATTTTCAGGAGCAAGGAAGTAACCTGTGAAAAAGTGAATGCCTTTCTTCAAATAATATGCTAATGAAAGGCTGAGATATTAATGTCTAAATATTATAAAACTTTCATTTTAATATAATGTTTTACTTTATATTTATATTGTATTGTATAACAAAGAAATGTGAGTCTTGTTACACCTGAGAACTTGTACTGGCAATCTACATATTGTTGTTGAAACAATTTTAAATTAAACATACAATGAGAGGGAAAAATGATTCTGTTGCCTCAATTTTAAAAGGAATATTTTGAAGAAATAATTTTCCATATAATAGCTTGTTATGATCTTGCCTTTTAGCCTCCCTGGATAAAGAAATGCTTACTTATAATAATTGAAGGAAGACAATTTTCCTTGTTTTCTGCAAATTAGAAATATATTAGGCTATTAAATACATAATTCAAAATATACAGAATAAAGGTATTATAGAACCTAAGAATTATATAAAGAATTATATACATAAAGTAATGAATACATATACAAATAGTATAAAAATACTAAAAATAGTGTTTGCTTATTGATTAATTACTATGGGTATTATATAACTCTTAGTTTCTACATTGCCTTTCTATTCTTAGTTATTATAATAGGTGTATTATAATTACTAATACGTATAAACTACTTATAGTTTATATGAATGTGTTATATGTACATGTATATTATAATAACTAATACCTATAAACTATTTACAATTATATGTATTATAATAACTAATAAATATAAACTACTTATTGTCAAAACTGTTTTTAACTATTAAAAGATAAAGCACACAGATATGTTTTCTTTACTAGGTATTCCCAGAAGCACTCATAAAACTCGGGGTTTTCATACAGCAGTGATTACAGACTTGCTATTTTTATTATTCCCATTTTATAGATTAAGAGCACAAGACTCATATTAGTGTTATTTAGCCATGTCATAGAGCCAGTTCCCAGATATTTTTTCCACTTGTTTTGTCATGAAGAATGAGAAGTAGAATCAGCATCAAGTTTGTGCTAAACAAGTACAATAATAAGAAAGCACAGCAAATGCTGACTAGACTGTAAGAATATTTTTGCTTTTAGGCCACCCGAAAAAGATAAAATATATGAGGTGATCAAAGTGAATAATTATATAAACAAGAGGAATTAGAATATGAATAAGCCAGGAAAAATAAGAATAGGCCAAAAAAAAAACACACACCCATTTCTCATTTAAACCTAAAGGGAGACAAATTCATTCAATCTATACATATTTATTTTGCTACCCCAATAGAGATAAATATCCTCTCTAAGAAAAATCCCGCTTTACTTAATATGTATCACATTTACCTAATAAATTACATATTACTAAAACAGAGAGCAACCAGTGTTTTACTCTTTTTTTTTTCAGAGATTTTTTGCTCTTGTTGCCCAAGTTGGAGTGCAATGGCATGATCCCGGCTCACTGCAACCTCCACCTCCCAGGTTCAAGCAATTCTCCTGCCTCAGCCTGCCAAGCAGCTGGGCTTACAGGCATGCACCAACATGCCTGGCTAATTTTTGTGGGTTTTTTTAGTAGACACGGGATTTCACCATGTTGGTCAAGCTAGTCTCGAACACCTGACCTCAAGTGATCCACCCTCCTCGGCCTCCCAAAGTGCTGGGATTATAGGCATGAGCCTTTGCGCCTGGCCTCATTTATTTTCATATAAAATATAGGGTCAAGTATGTTGAGATATTAGTTACGCTATATTTTGCTCAGTATTGCCTGAGAGTTGAATTATTTTATCATTGTAAAGAATAGCTTCTAGATTATGAGAATATTAAATAAAATAAACTGGAGAGACTCTCAGCAGCAAACTATGGTATGTAAGTACATATGTAAATATGTATCTATCTATCTATTTATCTATCTAATCTATCCTATCTATCAATCTATCTATCATCTATCTATCCATCTGTCTATCTATCTCCTTTTCTTTCATTTATGTCTGGATCTGTACCAAACACCAGGCAGAGGAGTTAGGAGAAGTAACTGAAAAACCCATGGGTGACATCACCAACTAAAACAGGTGACAAATAATCAGCATAAAACCCAGAATACAAGAGTAATTGTCCTAATCATTGGCAGCATAGGGCCAGTACCAGCTGGAGTTAATGGCAAAGATAAAATGAAGATAAAAGGAAGTATTGTAAGATCTTAATATCAATAAACTACAACAAGAAATCATCAATAATGCTCACTCCCAAAAGAAAAATACTTACCCTGAAGAAAAACAATTGGAACAAAATCAAAATTAATCAGAGAATCAGATAATCTGAGACAAGTAAGATAATTTTTAGAAAATAAATTTTAGAAAAGAAAATAATTTGAAGGTACATAAAATCAAATAGAAGTGGTACAAACTATAGTAAGAGATATAGAGTATAAAAATAAGAGTAAAAAACAGAAATTGAGAGATTAAAAACATCTAAAAATTTTCTAAGCATAGAACTTAGGCAAAGAATAGTAATACCCATGTAATGGTTATTTCTAAGAACAAAAATTAAAATAAAAAATAATATTAATTATTTGAGCATGAAGGTAAAAGGATAAGAAGTTTATATTGATAATAGACTTCTTGATAGCAACATTTTATACAGGATGGTAATCAAGAAATGGTTTAATGATTATGAAACAGATAACACAGTAGCGAGATGAGATTTTATTCATCCAAACTATGAATCATGTCTAAGGTATGTAGAACATCATGAATATTCATGATTTTAAAAAACATTGTTCCTGTGATGGCTTTTTTAGAAATGTCCTACCTACTGACAAGAAGACAAACATCATGTGAAGCTTCTGGATAAGGACTAAATATGTTTAATTTTATAATTAAGAACAAGTAATGGGGATTAAAGTGACAAAACATGATGCTATTAAGTGTGTTAAACATGAAGAAATAATGCAACTCAACAACAAACATAAAAAAGG
Organism: Homo sapiens; assembly: GCF_000001405.40. NCBI lineage: Eukaryota > Metazoa > Chordata > Mammalia > Primates > Hominidae > Homo > Homo sapiens. The sequence goes on from NC_000009.12 coordinate 63,628,871, forward strand.
AGAAGAAAAAGAAAGTAGACGAATCTTAATGACTATCTCAGGAGTATCTAACTGCCATTAAAAAAATATGGAATTAAAGTAAATGTTAAGCAAAAAGAGAGAAGAAAGGAAAGAGAGTTTACTAGAGAACAGTATTACTACTCATTGAAGAAATCAATAGAAAGTATTAAAACACACTAGAGGACTAGTATATTTTATTATAATATTATTATAAGATAATAAAAAGAATAAACATAGAAACATTTATAAATACCAAATGAGTATATCCTGCCCCTCAAATTAAAGTGTAAATACAGGGCAAGATTTTATATAAATTATTTATATAGCAAAAACTTACATAACAGAACTTAACACCAGCATAACAGGTATATCAAAGACACAAATGGGCTTAACTCACCATTAAATGGTGTACTTTTAGGTTGGCTAATGGAGCAGAATCCAATCTATTCTGTGTGCAAGAAACATATTGAACAAGGCAATTCAGAATGGTTTAATGTAAAAGGAAGAGCAAAGATAGATCTTGTATGATAGCAAGAACCTGAAATAGTTGTCAGAATTTTGCTATGAGACAAGATAGAATTTAAGACAAAATAAATTTAACAGGATAAGGAAGGGAAATTTATTCTACAGAAGGAATCATGCTTCATTCTACATTAAAAATAAAATATATATTAATAACATACACAAAATTACAATTTTCATAAAGCAGAAATAACAGAAGTTGAAAGAAGAAATAGACATTAAAACTGGAGATTTTAACATAGCTTATTAATTGGTAAGTCCTTGAAGAATGCAAATAAGCCTCACTTTTAGTAATTAAAAAAAATTAACACAAATACTGACAAAGACTCTCTCCTTCATCAAACTTTAGTCAGATTTTTGAGCTCTCCTCTCAACTAGATCTTCACCTAGGCCCCTTGCCTAGTCTCCATAGCTCACTTTTAACAAGAATCCTTAAGTCCATATAGAGAGACTCTTGATATCTGATCACCCTGAGCTGTCTTCAGCAAGAATCCTGTTAATGTGTTTTAGCAAGAGTTCCCCTACTTTTGATGTCTCCTCTTAGTAATTTTCCATCCACTGACCCCCTCACACTGCTCTTTTGCTATAAATTTCCATGTGTGCTTGTATTTGGAATTGAGCTCATTTCTCTACTAAAGTCTCTTTTCCTGCATTGCAATAATTTCTGAATAAAATCTTTCTTTACTGCTTTAATTACCCTCTGGCTCTGGTTCTCTTTGACATTACTCTTTGAAGAATCACTTTAGGGGGAAAGAATAAATGCAAGAAGACAAAGTCAGAGACTATTATCCAAATATAGAATGGAGATAATGATATCATACTGAATGGGAAAAAACTGGAAGCATTCCCTTTGAAAACTGGCACAAGACAGGGATGCCTTCTCTCACCACTCCTATTCAACATAGTGTTGGAAGTTCTGGCCAGGGCAATTAGGCAGGGGAAGGAAATAAAGCATATTCAATTAGGAAAAGAGGAAGTCAAATTGTCCCTGTTTGCAGACGACATGATTGTATATCTAGAAAACCCCATTGTCTCAGCCCAAAATCTCCTTAAGCTGATAAGCAACTTCAGCAAAGTCTCAGGATACAAAATCAATGTACAAAAATCACAAGCATTCTTATACACCAATAACAGACAAACAGAGAGCCAAATCATGAGTGAACTCCCATTCACAATTGCTTCAAAGAGAATAAAATACCCAGGAATCCAACTTACAAGGGACGTGAAGGACCTCTTCAAGGAGAACTACAAACCACTGCTCAAGGAAATAAAAGAGGATACAAACAAATGGAAGAACATTCCATGCTCATGGGTAGGAAGAATCAATATTGTGAAAATGGCCATACTGCCCAAGGTAATTTATAGATTCAATGCCATCCCCATCAAGCTACCAATGCCTTTCTTCACAGAATTGGAAAAAACTACTTTAAAGTTCATATGAAACCAAAAAAGAGCCCACATTGCCAAGTCAATCCTAAGCCAAAAGAACAAAGCTGGAGGCATCACGCTACATGACTTCAAACTATACTACAAGGCTACAGAAACCAAAACAGCATGGTACTGGTACCAAAACAGACATATAGATCAATGGAACAGAACAGAGCCCTCAGAAATAATGCCGCATATCTACAACTATCTGATCTTTGACAAACCTGAGAAAAACAAGCATTGGGGAAAGGATTCCCTATTTAATAAATGGTGCTGGGAAAACTGGCTAGCCATACATAGAAAGCTGAAACTGGATCCCTTCCTTACACCTTATACACAAATTAATTCAAGATGGATTAAAGACTTAAACGTTAGACCTAAAACCATAAAAACCCTAGAAGAAAACCTAGGCATTACCATTCAGGACATAGGCATGGGCAAGGACTTCATGTGTAAAACACAAAAAGCAATGGCAACAAAATCCAAAATTGACAAATGGGATCTAATTAAACTAAGGAGCTTCTGCACAGCAAATGAAACTACCATCAGAGTGAACAGGCAACCTACAAAATGGGAGAAAATTTTCGCAACCTGCTCGTCTGTCAAAGGGCTAATAACCAGAATCTACAGTGAACTCAAACAAATTTACAAGAAAAAAACAAACAACCCCATCAAAAAGTGGGCGAAGGATATGAACAGACACTTCTCAAAAGAAGACATTTATGCAGCCAAAAAACACATGAAAAAACACTCACCATCACTGGCCATCAGAGAAATGCAAATCAAAACCACAATGAGATACCATCTCACACCAGTTAGAATGGCAATCATTAAAAAGTCAGGAAACAACAGGTGCTGGAGAGGATGTGGAGAAATACGAACACTTTTACACTGTTGGTGGGACTGTAAACTAGTTCAACCATTGTGGAAGTCAGTGTGGCGATTCCTCAGGGATCTAGAACTAGAAATACCATTTGACCCAGCCATCCCATTACTGGGTATATACCCAAAGAACTATAAATCATGCTGCAATGAAGACACATGCACACGTATGTTTATTGCGGCACTATTCACAATAGCAAAGACTTGGAACCAACCCAAATGTCCAACAATGATAGACTGGATTAAGAAAATGTGGCACATATACATCATGGAATACTATGCAGCCATAAAAAATGATGAGTTCATGTCCTTTGTAGGGACATGGATGAAATTGGAAATCATCATTCTCAGTAAACTATCGCAAGAACAAAAAAACCAAACACCGCATATTCTCACTCATAGGTGGGAATTGAACAATGAGAACACATGGACACAGGAAGGGGAACATCACACTCTGGGGACTGTTGTGGGGTGGGGGGAGGGGGGAGGGATAGCTTTAGTAGATATACCTAATGCTAATTGACGAGTTAATGGGTGCAGCACACCAGCATGGCACATGTATACATATGTAACTAACCTGCACATTGTGCACATGTACCCTAAAACTTAAAGTATAATAATAATAATAATAAAGGAATGGAGATAATGATGATGGTGATGTCTTGGATAGTGATTGCAATGGACTGCATGGCTGTTGCCACCCTGTCTCTGAAACTTATAGGTGGAAATCCTAACCCTTAATATGATGGTATTAGGAGGTGGTACTTTCAGGAAGTGGTTACATCATGAGGTTGGAGCCCTCCTAAACGGAACTAGTTCCCCTATATAATAGACCCTAGAGAGTTCTCTCACTCTCTGACATGTGAGGATACAAGAAGAAAATGGTAGTCTGCAAATTAGAAGAGAGATATCACTGAAACCTGGTCACTCTGGTACCACGGTCTCAGACTTCTAGCCTTTAGAACTGTGAAAAAATTGATTTTTGTTATTTCTAAGCCACCTAGTCTATAGGTCTTTGTGATAGCAGTCAGAATTGACTAAAACAGTAATAGTAGCAATGGCGATGGAAAGAGTCAATGCATTTGATATGTACTTTGAAGAAAGAAATAACAGGACTATCAGTCATGTGGACGTTTGGCATGAGAGAAATGCAACATGGTAATTAAACAACTTTGTGTCTAAGTCTGAAGGTTGGAGAATAGTCAAAGGTAAAAGTAAAGCTATGGGAGTTACCGACACTTATGAGCCTTTTAAAGGAATTATTTATTTTTATTGTTAAATCATCAAGGAAGGGTTGAAACAGACAATAGAAATTAATGCCAAATGAGCTGAAAAAAATGTGTTGCAATTGAGTTGGGAATAAAAAGCTGAGGTGGCAAGAAGAAAAGCAAGGTTGGCGTATTTCTAAAAAACTCTATAATGAATAATGTTTTGAAGAGGAAGAAATTTTCAACAATTTGAAATGCTGCTGAGACTTTGGGAAATGTGAATGGTGCCCACGTAGAAGTTGTTGACAGTCACTGAAACAACACTCCCTTTAGCATTATGTATAAGAAACTAGATTAGAATGAAGCAAATGGATTCTTAATTCCAGAATTGTGGAGAAATAGAAAATCTAAAAACTTATTGGAAACACAAGAAATGCAACATGAACTATAATAACCATCCATTTCAATAAAATTAGAGGATTTCAGGTTCAGGCCATGATAAAGTAGCACAAACTCACACCCTGAAGTTGGCTATAAAAGCTGGGCAAAATATGTTAGACAACTGTTGGAAGACACTGGAGAACAATCAATGTATACAGAGCTTGAGTGGGATTATTATTAAAAAGAAATAATTATAGACTATAAGTTACATTCACTCAGACGTTTTTCCTCTAATAACATTTCCCAAATACTGATGTGAAGAAAGAAAGCATACACAGAAAGTGAAATTTTACTGTGTTGAGGTGACAGAGATTAGAGTTCAGAGTATCTAGTGTGTATGGGGCTCATGAGACAAATTTCCAAGAAGGAAGTAACCACAGAGAGAGAGCCTGAATATCTGCATACAAATGCCCCTTAAGTGTGGCCAGTATCAAAGATATGTATGCACAAGGTGAGACGTCAAGAAGCCTAGCAGAAATCAATAAATGGGAGGTTGGAGTGCTGAGTTTAGATTTCAGCTAATGGTTTAGAGAAGAAAGAGGTTGTGGTTCAAACACTGGTAATTATAGAGGATGAGATGGGAGTGAGAAAATATATGGCTAAATGTGGTCATTCTTCAGGTTTTAGCTTTTATGCAGGGTGCTATATGCTGGTTACTTCCAACCCTGTAAAAGTTATTATTTAATTACCTACATATAAAAGATGACCATGAATAGGCATAAGATGAAAGTATGTCATTAATCAAAATGATGATTAATTCAATTCTCTATAATTGAGATTCAATTAAAAAGATTATTCATCACATTCACAGAGTAAATGAGAAAAATCACATAATTTCAGTAGATGCAGATACATAAGATCTGTATCCTAACAGATATTGATACAAAGAAGTATTTGATAAAATTCATCATTAATTTACTGTATATATATATGCTCTTATTAAACTAGGATTTAAAAGGCACTTCATTAAGTTGATAAAGTGTATCTTTTGAAATCCTATAAACAATATCTTATGACATAATAATGTGGGAATGTTAGAAGACTTGCTTTTAAACCTGGGAACAGGAAGAGATTCTCTGTTATTTTCCTATGCTGCTGTAACAAATTGCCACAAAATGGGTAGCTTAAAGCAACACAGACTTTTTCTCTTATAGTTCTGAAGTCCAAAAATTCATAATCAGTATCAGTGGTCTAAAACCAAGGTGTGATCAGCACCCTATTTTATCCAGAGAACTCAGGGGAGAGTAATTCTAGAAATTATTCCAGAAACGCAGCTTCTAGAACTACATTTCTTGTCTCAAAGGCCCCTTCTTCTATCTTCAAAGATAGCAGCGTATAATTTTCAAATATTTCTCCACTTCCATGATCACACAACCTAGATTCTATGTCAAATCTCCCTCTCCATCACTCTTATAAGGACACTTAAGATTGCATTTAGAGCCCACCAAGATAATTCATGATAATCTTCCATCACAAAATTCTTCACTTACTCACATCTGCAAGTCTCTTTGCCATAAAGGTTACATTTACAGGTACTAAGGATTAAGACCTGACATCTCTTGAGACCATTATTCAGCCTAACACAGATGTCCTCTCTTGCTGCTTGTTTTACACATTGTACTTTTCTGAATACTTTTGAGAAAGTTTGCTCTAAAGAAGAAAAAAAAGTAGTTCTATATTTGTGAGACATGTAGACTGAGAATGACTATTTTTCTAATGTGATAAATAAAAGCACATTTATGTGACAATAGCAATAATAGAGAAGATAAATGAAAGTTATGCAGAAGGGAGAAGATTTGACAATAGCAAGCATGAAAGCCCTGCAGGAGAAAAGTTTGGATGGGATACTGAATAAAATTGTAATATTACTTTTTGATGCATACGTTCACACCATTTTTTCACAATGTTTCCTAGATTGCTCTGTATTTCTTTCCCATCTATATATATATACACACATATATATCCACATATATATATACACACATATATACACACACACATATATACACATATATATACACACATATATACACATATATATACACACATATATATACACATATATATACACATATATATACACACACATATATATATATATACACATTTTGACTGAAAATGATTGGGATGAAAGAAAATGAGAAAGAAAAATGGAATAAGGAATTCTCAATTATATAAATAGAATATTATAATTAGTAAACCATGAATAAAAGAAGGCATATGGGCTGGGCGCGGTGGCTCACGCCTCTAATCCCAGCACTTTGGGCGGCCGAGGTGGGCGGTTATGAAGTCAGGAGATCGAGACCATTCTGGCTAACAGGGTGAAACCCCGTCTCTACTAAAAATAGGGAAAAGTTAGTCAGGCGTGGTGATGGGCACCTGTAGTGCCAGCTAGTCGGGAGGAGGCTGAGGCAGGAGAATGGTGTGAACCCAGGAGGCAGAGCTTGCAGTGAGCCGAGATCGCAGCACTGCACTCCAGCCTGGGTGACAGAGCGAGATTCCATCTCAGAAAAAAGAAAAAAAAAAAAAAAAGGAATACTTGATAAAAAAGGTATCCATATATCAGATAAGAAGATGTAAAATTTATGTGCTATCTACTTCTGGAATTTCCACCATAAGGGAATAATAATGATGTAGGGGTTCACTTGAAGGACAGAACTTGTACTTGGTTACTTATGTACACAATCTCTGCCTTACTCGCTTTTGGTGGATCGTATTGTGTCATTTCAATGTGGCCATTATTGTCTTTTATGAACATATACAACAAAGTAATATACCTTTACATAATGTCTACATCTCTACTGTAATTTAAACTTTAATGGCTCAAAAATGCTAAATTACAAAATAGAGAAAGATGTGTGTTAAATGCAGATTAATATAATTTAAATAATATTATATATGATAAGGGTTTGTAAAACTTAACCATTAAGATGGATAGATGAGAAAGATAGAAACCTAGAATACAATACTAGCAAATCTAGAAACATAGTAGAGATGAGTTCAATAATTCGATTCTACATAAGAGGTCATCAAACTACAAAGCACAGAGCTAATCAGGCCACTGATGCATTTTGGTAAACAAAGTTTTATTAGAATAAAGTGACATCCTTTTATTTTACATATTGTTTATGGCTACTTATGCACTACGATGGCAAATACTGGTACTTGTGACAGAGATCACATGGCACATACATTCTAAAATACTTAATAGTTGGCCCTTCACGAAAGGTTTTGAGAGCTACTGCTCTAGGAAATCTCAGGTTCAATGTCAGTTATGAATCAGCGTTGCTTAGCATAGCCATGTTTGAAATCCTTTCCAATGACAATAATTGTTACTGCCTCTAGACAGAAGAGTCCAATTATTTTAAGGTTTCATTATTAGGAATGGTTCATTTAATTAAGCCATAGTTGTTACTTCAAGTATAATTAATTAGTGAAGGTATATTGCTTTTATGGGATATAATTAATAGGAAAATAGGTTACTGCTCTGTGGCATAGTTATAATTTAAATGCTGTGGCTTTATAGAATTTAAAGGTAGGGTCTGTTTATTATGAATTATGCCTCCCATCATCTAGCTCATGTGAGGTAGTTCTGGAATAGCACATTATTTATGTTTGCTGATAATTTATTTTAGATATAATGGTTGGTTAGGAAGGAGTTCATGGTGAAGAAGGTAGATGTCACAAAAACATGCCTGAAATGGTGATGGAGAAGACGAATCCGTGTATTTATTCATTTAATAAATTATGTTGTCATTCAAGCAAATAAAAATAGTCTTTACTCTGAACAATCATATAAAATATCTGTTGTATAATTAATCGTGTGCTTCTGAATAAAATTGATGAAAGCATAGTTTGCATTATAAGCATTAATTCATTAAAATTTACCCTGAACATTGTTATTTGGTTTTATTAGCAAGAAATATAGCACTTGGAATGGTTTACTAAATACATGTGAAGAACTCTAGATCACAAAGAACCTAAAATACAGAATTTTCAGCATTATTATAATCTATTTAATTACACATTCAGGTTTATTTGTTACTGAAACTTAGTAACTTGATTTTGGGAGTTTTATATCGCTTCTGTGTCTTGTTTGTTTGCACAAGTTTGTTTATGGTGAAGTGCAAAGTATTTTAGTAAAAGGGATTTGAGCCACAGATGACAAATAATTACAGGAACATATAACATAAACTACACTCGGACTTTAAAGCAGGTTTAGATTATATTACTTTGGTTATTATTCTTTGTTTTCAAAAGGGAATGATGGGTTATAGCTATATGCCCAAATATTTAAGCAAAACACGACAAAAGAAGGGTGAAGAGACCTTTTATCTAATGGCCAAAGTAGAAGGTAGCACTCATAAAATATACTGTTTTGTGTAATAAGTGAATGGAATCTTTACACAATTTTTTGCTAGGGTTAATTGTTTAGGAAACTTTTCTAATTGGCAACTACTTCATAGAAAAACTTGATCCAGACCTATATGTGGAACTTCCCTTTATATTAACTTGCTGAAATTATTAAAGTTAAAAGCTTGTTTTTCCAGGTTGATACTCTCAAGACCTACAAAGACCAGCACATTGAAGCAATCAGTTGATTACCGTCATGATGCCTGCATATGTTTGTTTCATGTCAGACACACCTGAGGTCTGTAATTGAATACATAAAGAGTGCAACCATGGAAGAAACAAGGTTGGCTTGTGGTGTTCCTATGGCAGCATCGACACAGCTTCAAGTGCACCATGAGCATGAGCACTGCCAAGAAAATATATTGGCTCTCAACTCTCAGAATACTGCCGCGTCTAGAACTTTTGGCCTTGCCAACCACTGGGCAGTAAGAGACAGTAACAAATCACAGCAGATACTGTTTCCTTAGAGCAATTAAATTACATCAGAAAAACTAAGCTGAGTGATAACAAAACAATTTCTAAATGTCAGGAGCCTATATCAATTCAATCATAAGTTGCTCATTTCACATGTCCTTGGTGTTGCTTATGATTCTACTCATGGGTCACTGTCACCTTTATACCAGGATCTAGAGGACAAAGCAGCCACTCCAGAACACTGAAAGTTACTGTACTCAAGGAAAAAAAGAATGTTGTGAGGCACGCTCTGAATTTTTGCCTCTAGAAGGAAACAGACACTTTAGTCTACTAACATTTCAATAAGCAAAAGGAAATCACATTCCATAACTGAAGTAAACAGGGCAGTGAGCTATATCCTACCATGTGCATGAAGAAGCCAAAAAATATGTAAGCAATCCTAATGTTTATCACCTTAAATTTATCCATGCATGCTACTGTGGTCACTTTCACTGTAAAAGCAGTCATTGCAGAATCATCACTAGTATCTCAGTATATTAGTCAGGGCAATTAATATTAGTTTCTGAACCAAACTGCAAATATCTGTGACTTAACACAATTTTTTTATTCTCATTCATATAATAATTCAGTAGAGGATTAACTTTCTGAAATTCCTTAAAGGTTTTCACTGAATCCTCTGCATTTAATATAAAGAGGAGTATGAGAAGCATTGCGTGAGGTATCTTATAGCTCAGTCTAAAAGTGGGAAATATAACTTCTACCTACATTTCATTCACCAGTGAAATGGTCTCATCCTACCTGCAATTGAGGCTGAAAAATACAGCATTTCCTTGTGGTCCAAAGAAGGAAATAATGTTATCTCACCAATCTCTGTCAAGGTCAGTCCTTCTGATGCCAAAATACCTGCTTTAATCTTCCTCCCATTATAAAACACACCGACTTCTCTCAAAATGAAAAATGCAGAGTTCTTTCAAGGTCTGGCATCCAGCTCAAAATGTAGTATCTCTGGCCACTCATAATTCTCCCAGTGAAGTCCAGATAAGGTCCTCATTTCTCAGTAAAATCTAAACTTAAAAGAATAAATATGTGTCCTGTGTACAAATATGCAACGGTGAAGTGGGAACAAGGTGGCAGCAATAAATACATCTCTATCACCACAGTCATTTGTTCTTGACTATTTGCAAATCATTTCAGGAAGACATGGTGAAACATCCTACATTGTGAGTGGCAGAACCCCATGTGCACTGCAATCTCATTTCCTACCCTCCGGAGGAGTATATAAACTTTTCCTACATAAATAATGGCCACATTTTTTTATCGATACATTGTAAGTTCTAAGATGTGTGTGTTTTTTTAAGAGGAATTAAAATAGAAAAGCATATACCTAAAAGATGTTCCTCGGGATATATCTGCATATATTCTCTACTCTTGTCATTTTAAGTAAAAATACAGTGGTCCCTTGATATCCTCAAGAGACGGGGTCCAGGACCCCAGAGGATACCAAAATCAGCACATATTCAAGTAATCCTGTGGAACCAGAGTATACAAAAAGTCAGTCCTCCATATCTGCGGGTTTTTCATCCTGTGGCTACTGTATTTTGATCCACATTTCAATGCAGATGCTGATTTTTTTAATTAAAATAATCTCTATATAAGGGATGCACACAGCTCAAGCTCATGTTGCTCAAGTATCAACCGTACTTTTTTATTTCTGTCCAATATAATTTAAATAACATAATTCTGTGAACTGCATGTCATTAATTACATATACTAAGAGGTGGCATAACAATGTGTTTAAATTCCAAGAAATGGTGGCTAGCAAATTTAATTCTCATCTCTGCTCTGCCACAGACAAGTTCTGAAGTCTTGAGCAAATCATGAGTATCTGTCTCTAGCTTACTCATCTTAAGAAGGAGCCAGTAAGTGGCAATTATCTTTCAGTGTTCTTATGAGGAGTAAATAACCTGTACACATCAATGCTTAGAACAGAGCTTGCCATGTGGTATTATGTCCGGAGTTGGTTTCTGCCAGTGGGTTTGGTGGGTTCGTGGTCTCGCTGACTTCAAGAATGGAGTCACGGACCTTTCCCATGTTACAGATCTTAAAGATCGTGTGGACCCAACGAGTGAGCGGTAGCAAGGTTTATTGTGAAGAGCAAAAGGAGAAAGCTCCCACAGCATGGAAGGTGACACCAGCAGGTTGCTGCTGCTGGCTGGGGTGGCCAGCTTTTATTCACGTATTGGCCCCTCCCATGTTCCATTTTTGTCCTATCAGAGTGCCCTTTTTTTCAATCCTCCCTGCAATTGGCTACTTTTAGGATCCTGCTGATTGGTGCGTTTTACAGAGTGCTGATTGGTGCATTTTACAATCCTCTTGCTAGCTACAGAGCACTGATTGGTGCATTTTACAATCCTCTTGCTAGACAAAAAAGTTCTCCAAGTCCCCACTCCACCTAGGAAGTCCAGCTGGCTTCACCTCTCAGTATGTTCTGAATAAATTGGGCTATTAAATATGTGATATGAATTAATCAAGCAGAGAAAAAGTTACTAGTGACAGGGAAAAGGAGAAAATATGTATTCAATATTATGTTGTAAACAATTTATAAATATGCTTCACCTATGAGTTTCTTCTCAGTACCTTAGAAACTATAACACCATGGAAAATTTTGGATAGTTTAGGGAAGTGCATTATTTGGTAATGTGAAAAATAAGATGGTCGTGATAAAGGAACTTGGGAAAAAAGAAATGGCATGAATTTTGAGAACACGTACTTTCTGAGAATTTTCATGTTTAGAAAAGAGCAAGCTAAAAATCTGGAAGCGTGTTTGTTCACAGGCAATTTTCAATTGGTCTCATGCATTTCTGTGCATCTTGCAAATAGAAAGGCACTAGCTTCACATTTATTACAGGTTTTCCTTTTTAAAGATCTTTATATAGCGGATAGCCCTGGAAGATCAAGATATTGTTTGTTTATGGATGAGAGAACAGATTTGTTTATTTTCAAGTAAAATGAAGATAGTGTTTCCTCCACAGAAAACATCAGACAAGTGTGCTTACTGCTCATTTATTAAAGATTTAAGTTTCCTTTACTTGGAGTTCTTCATCTGTGACACAAACTGTGTGTAGCATCAACTTGAACTCCTTGTCATCATCTCCCGTAAACTTGAGGGAAAACAGGAACCAGAGCAAAGATGAAGCTCGTGCAACTCTGTGCTGTGCTGCAAATAATGGAAGTCTTTCTGTCTCTGACCAAACAGTTATGTGTCTTCTGCCAACATCCATAAAACTGAAGCAGGCTAACTTGTAAGCTCAGATCCTTCACAGTTCTTGACAATAGTCCCTTAAAACTGTCTGCAGATGCACATCCCTTGGAAAAATTTTGCATCCTTTTAAGAATAATTAATATCCTAGTTAATGACAACTATATGACAGGATAGGTCACTTTAAGCTTCTACCCAGATTACTATAACTTTTAGGTAAATAATGTATATGCCATTTTTTCTAAGGTTATCTAGCCATTTTTGATATAGAAAACAATATTGTGTAAGATAAGCTGAGCATATTTTTCACTTCGTTGTTTTGCAAAACAATTTTATTGGTTTTTTTAATGCCCCAATCATCAGTACTGCTTGGTATAAGAGCCGAGTTTGAAGAATTATCATGTTGCAAATGTATTTTGCTCAGTTATTTCAAATTAGTAGACAGAATTGAGAAGTGGAACATTTTAGAAAAATCTTGGTTAATCATACTTGGAATTTGGTTATGTAATATCTCTTTCTCTTTTGGGGAATACAAAGGTTCATAAACTAGTGATAATCTTCACTCTTGGAACCATTAGATGCTATCATGATGTTAGCACAGAAGATAAATTTATAATGTTGCAGTGAGGTAAGGAAATAAAACATGTAAGTCTTTGAAAACAACACTATGACAGCCCTTGCAGGCTAAAAATTAGACACCAAAGCATTTTTTGTTACTTTTGGAGAATAAAAGAAGTGTGCCCCTCAATGTCTTGTGGGAGAAAATATATAGTTTGATACACTTGTCAATATCTCTAACTCAAAAATAATGAGTATAAGGAGTGACCCTTATTGTAGTCTTATATTTCTCTCCAACAATTAAGAGAGTTGGTGGGGATGTTTTTTCCATGAGTTCATCCCGGGCCCCAGGAGATTTTCATCTTGTATTCTCTTTATAATCCTATCTTAGTGTTTCATCCTCATGGCTAAGTTCAGCAATACTTCTGCATTCCAGACAGTAAAATGTGTAAGAAGAGATGTAAAAACAATCAGCTTTGTCTTTATGGAGATTAACTTAAATTTATGCTCATAATATAATTTATATTATATTTGATCAAAATTAATCACTGATAAGAGACTATAGAAGGTAATCTCCTGCTTGTGGTCATATGTACTTAGGATTCTATTACTAAACAAAATGAAAGAATCATTATATGGACAATTAGTGGTCTCTAGTACAAAGAAATTACCAGGTCATTTCTAATTCTCAATATTAAAAAAAAGTTTATTTCTTACTGCACTATCAAATTGGAAAGGTCAGTACAGGGGCATTCAATAATAGTAAAAATATTAATAACAATCATATGTATAACAACAGAATCATTTAAAAAGATGTATATTTAAAATGTGATTATTGCATTTTATTTCCCCTGGCAGAAAATAATAAACTGGAGAAAAATCACATTTGATTGATGTCTGTTACATGGATTTTTAAAATTTGTATCAATGAATGCTTTTTAAAGGTAAACTAATTCAGGCCTACCGAAGATAAGTAAATCTTTAGTTATTTTGGTAAATATATTTTACAGTTTCATTCTTTTTCAACTTAAGTTAGATAATAGGTACTATATTCTCTCTTAATGTAAATGTTTATGAGCATTGAAACTCCATCTGGAGAAAATAGAAACACTTTTAATTTAAATGACGCTTGAAGAAGGAAATGTATAAATGTATTCAAAACTGTAAGTGAAAATGGGAAGGTCCTATTAAAAAAAAAAGGACAAACACTTTCCAATGACCTTTCTATAATATTAGCAAATTTATTATGATCTGTTATGAAAGACTGTTTTGCCTTCCTTGTTTCTACTGTCTCAACTCCCTAAGTACTAATTCAATTGAAAAGTAACTTCAGGTATGGGTCCATTTTAATGTCCCTCTACAAGATCTGCAGTGCCATTAATTACAATCATATAATCTTAGAGCCAAAAGGACCCTTAGAGATTATCTAATCCTATTCTATTAATGCATGATGAAATGGGCTTAGCAATCTGTCTAAGGTTACACAAATTCAAAAACACATAGAAAGTTTTCATAATCAAATTAAAGTATAAAACAATTAATGTCACTAATTTATGTATAAGAAAATATTAAATATCATTTTATATGAATTGATTCTGATAATTTTAATGAGTTCATAACAATGCTTCTAAATATTTCAAAATTTTAGTTTATCATCCAAATATGATAATAATATACACTTTTATAAGTGAGTCTTCTACAGTGAAAATTACTAATTATAGGAAAGAGAAAATCATAGATAAATAGGGTTGTATCAAACTCTTAAAATGTACATGTGGAAATTTAAAAATATCCTCTTGACAAGGGGATGTTGATGTCATTCCATAACAGGATTGACATGTGTAATTAAAACAAACAACAAAAATTAAGAATATATAAATAATATTTAAATGCTTGAATTTGTTATTTATAATGAATATTGAAATTTATTTAGTGAGATAAAAGGTTAACAAATTCTTGAATATAATTATACTACTTTTATAATAAAATGCATCCAAGCTGAAATCTCACTTCTGTTGTCAACTGCTTTGATGGTTCTAGACTCATTTCCCCATTTTTGGTGAGTCATAAGATGGATGACACACATGCTCAATAGCAGGTTATTTTCATGGCTAAGGTTTATCATAGCAAAAACTACAGAGCAAAACCAGTTCTACTCATATTTTTAATGAATAATAAACTAATGATATCTTGTTATTCCTATGCTTTGTCTATCATACCTACACATAAATATAAGCACTGGTAAGTTCTGGTTCCAAACATAGCTTATATATGAATGCCATAATCATTCAACATGCATACATTAGCCTTGAATTTTGAAGATTAAAAAGTGTTTGTAAAACTACCTAGAAAAAATTTATTATGATTACAGCCACTATTAGATTTCAAAAGGGTTCATCAGAAATCTCTGAGGTATATGATGGGGAAAGAATATTTTGACTACCACTTTAACAGGTCTGCTATTTAATAATATTAGTTTCTTTTTAATTGACGTTTCATGGACATCCAGAATACTAGCTATAAAATCATATATGCTGCATAATGCAAGCAAAACAAAAGCACCTGTAAATATTACAGAAGACTATACATGTATGTATATCATTGCCATAAAATACCTATATACATATACGTATAAACACACATAATTGTTTTCACAACCATGATATTACTTACAAAAGCATGCAAATTTAGGGAGATGGCTAAATAAGTTATGGCTTTTTCATAAATTGTAAGCCTATTCATTATAAAATATTATTGAGGATCAACTTTCATTTGTTCCCCAACAAATTATTGAGCATCTACTATGTATATTCTAGGCCCATTTGTAGGGACTGGGGAAAAAATAGTGAAAATAACATTCAGAATGTCTTGGCTTCACAGAGCTGTTGTTCCAGTGTTGGGAGAAAAACAGTAATTAATACCACAAAGTATCATGTGTTGTATGCCAGAGGGTTTAAGTACTATTCTAAAAAATGTGGCAAAGAAGGGGAATAGAGAGTTCTGGGCACAAGAGGTGCTGGATACTGAACAAGATGGTTGCTGAAAGCCTCACTGGGTGGTATCATCTGAATACAATGAATAGTTATGAGAGAATGAGCCAAGAGCATAATTGAGAGAACATATTTTCAGGGAGCAGAAATAGCAAATGAGGCCTTGGTGTATGAACGCACCCGTGAGGTTCCACTAAGGATGCCAATGTGATACAGCAGAGGAGATGAGGTCACACTCCATGGGGAGATGGTCACATAAAGCTTCTTAGAAAATGGTAAGAACTTTTGTTTATTTAATTGGCAGCCATGAAGGGTTTTAAACAGAAAAGCAATCGCCTCTTTAAAGAATTAGCAGTAACAGTTTGACTGATCTGTGAAAATAGACCATAGCATAGCAAAAGAGAAAACAGGGAAATTAGTGAGGAAACTATCGTGTAAACTATTCCTGAAGCTGTTCTAAACTATAAACTATGTAAATTATAAATTGAAATTGTTCTATGCAAACAAGATATATTTGAACCCTGTATATTAGAGGCAAAAGTCCATGATATTGGCAATGTTTTGGCCTGAACTATGGGAGGAACAGAGTTGGAATTACTCACCTGGGTTTAAATTTGGAAGGAGCAAATTTGGGATTAGAGGATAGGAAAGATCAATAGTTTTATTTTTAACAGGCTTAATTTTAAATAGACACTTAATCATATAATATATTTTAAATAAATTATTAATCATAAAATAATGTCAGGCTATATTTTAATACTCACCTATCAATTATAAATAAATAAAATGATAAGAAAATACATAAAAACCGCAATAGTTGTTGTAATTAGACAGTGGAGTTACTTGTGATTTTAATGATGTAGGAATTATTCTTTTTTTTAAATAATAAATCTTTATTAATTTTATAATTATCAAAGATGCTATAAAAAGAAATATTTTTTATTACTATGCTACTGATGTATTTCCATTGCATTGACTAACAAAATTAACACTAGAATTTTCAAAAGTATCCACAGTGGTTACTTTATTTGCACTGTTAATTCAGCTCTTTTTAAGTATGCCTTCTCGTTCCCTAATTGATATAATTCAGAGACTACACTTGGACACAATTTAATGAATAAGCAAATTAGGTCCAGTTATTCCAATATGAAATTCCTTTTAATTATGGGCTACTTTTGGAGATGTAGAATAATTTGAATGTTTAATTTGGTGACTCAGTATGACCTACTTCACATTGTTTTATGAGTGGGTGAAAAATATAAGTGCTAGGAAATGTGTACCAGAAATAATTTGTCATCTAATTACATTTTGGAACATTATACCTCCTCAAAACTTTGTTTCAGCATATATCTCATTTTAAAAATCTATGTTGTATATATGTTTACTTCTTTAAAATTTTAAAAATGTTTGTGGCATTCACATAAAATACAGAAGAGAATAGCAATAAGTGACATACATATACTTCAGGACCTGAACATTTATATGACTACATTTTTTTCTTTCCTTAAAAAGAATATATTCAAATACATCATGAGAAAAATGTATAGCTTTATAGTTAGGATAAACCTTTAATTCAAGTGCTGTTACTTGAATTAAGGATGCACAAGCCCCGGACTCTACTCCACAAACCCCACCTGCTATTCTCACCACATAAATACCTAGGGAGAGGGATCTGTCTGAAGGAACCTTTCCCACAACAGCCTTTATTCAAAATGACACAGCTGCCACTTTCCTGATGCCTACTCTTGTACTCCAACTGCAGTGTGATTCATTACACACAGTTTGCTTGTATGTTATATGACAGTGATTACATCAAGGATTTGGGTACTAGCTAACTGAATTGATATATTTGAAAGTACTTTATAAAACAGAAAGTGCTGAACAACCATTAAGTATACAGAATGATTTGGCAACAATCATATGTAGTACCATATTTTCTGAAATATCTATTTCTTAAAAAACAAGTTTCATTAAGTGTATTATTTGCTGAATAATCTCTCAAAGGTCATGTTTTCATATAGCTACTATTATTGCATTTTGAAATCAAACATTATTTTCTTTGCCATTTCAGAGAAGCCCTTGGTAATCCAGCTCGCAAATGCAATTCATGCACATGGCTCTAAAGAGAAATGGGCAAACAAAAAGAATATTAACTACACATTCAATAATCATTTATTTATTTTCTTAGAGATATCTACAGTAGCTCTCTCTTATCCTTATTTTAATAAATGCTGACGTACAGAATTAGTGAGGTTTTTGGTAATAATATTTTTTTTTTGAGGCAGAGTCTTGCTCTGCCAACCAGGTTGAAGTGCAGTGGTGCAATCTCCACTCCCTGCAACCTCCACCTCCTGGGTTTAAGCGATTCTCCTGCCTCAGCCTCCTGAGTAGCTGACAGGTGCGCACCACCACGCCCTGGCTAATTTTTTGCATTTTTAGTAGAGATGGAGTTTCACCATGTTGGCCAGGCTGGTCTCACTCCTGACCTCAAGTGATCTGCCTGCCTCGGCCTCCCAGAGTGCTGGGATTACAGGCATGAGCCACCGCGCCCACCCGGGTTATAAATTTGTTACTCTTCTTGTGGTTGTTTGGGATGTGTATTTGTGTGTGTGTGCACATATACATATTATTGAATTTACCACGTTACCCCAAAGGCTTTACTTTAACTATTTTGCTTGATGTATATTCAACAATGATAGTCTCAAACAAACAAACAGAAAACAGAAACACATCTGATTTTTCACCAATACTGTTTATAGAATGAATCTGTATAGAGTCTGAGGCTATTCTGATGATAAATTGATTATAGGACTAGAAAAAACTATTTTGCCATTTTACAAATTCTCATTATGCACCTTATATAATAGTGCCAAGTTAATAAATTTGCTGCTATGTTTATAGTCTGCAACAGAAAAAACTTACGAGGTACTATTTTCCAGATGAAAGTGAAAGTGATGACAGATTTTATTTCTTCACTTAAATTATTAAGATATACCTTTATTATGTGAGCATAATCGATTTTATTGCAGGGAAGGCCCTTAATTCAGTAAAAAAGACAGGATTGCTTCTTGAATATTAAAACATTTTCATCTTTTCAGTTTTGCTTTTCTTGATTATCTATTTTTCTTTTTACTGAGTAATGTATATCATTTTTTAATTAAATATAATTTAAATAATATTTTACAATAATCTAAAATGCTTCTGAATACTTCGTCAATAATTTTGGATGTTCAATAACATTAAGAACGATTACATTTTTCAAATATTATTTTTGCATTATTTATATGTTTGCATTTTTACAGGTGTTCTAATCGCATATTGCAAGGCCAAATCAGAATTTTTAAAGACTTTATTTTATTAACATTTAATTATAGCAACAATTAAGAAATAAAATAAAATGACATAAAATTTTAAATCATATGAATAAATTAAACCTATATATTTAAATTACTTTACAATTTTAGCATTTTTCATAAATATACAGAAATTTCATTTTGTGTCTGTTGTTATAATTATTACAATATTAAAATTATGTAATGGAAAAATAAATTAAGCATCAATTAAGACAGCATACATCTGTTGACAAAAGAAAGAGAAGGTATATTTGATTTCCTTGATTTTTTCCTCTCAAAATTGAGAAATAGTTTAATTTTATAAATCTATATCCATTTAAATTACTTGTCACAATTTTAGCCTAATTTTTTCATTTTCTAGATAGATTACTCTTCTTTTTTTTTTTTTTTTAAAAAAAAGGTATCATTTATTCTGGTTACGGGTAAAAGACAACTTTAGATGTGCAAATATTTAGATATATAATCACAATTAGTATTTTTACTTCATGAAATCTTTAGGCGCAAACTTTGCTGTTCTAAACTAAAATTTGGATTCCAATTCAAAAGCTAAAGACTATCATAGTGTGATTATCCCAAATGAACTCTTTTACCTAACACTTACTGAAATTTCAAGATAAGTAGTATTGAGATTCTACAAGTCAGTAAGAGGTCTTCTCCCTGTGAACTTTTAGGTTTTAAGGGCACAAGGAATTTAATGGCTACTGGGCTAAAGAATGTAATAACCACTATTGTGCATATGATTTTAGTCATATTGGCAAAAAGCCTAGGAGTTACATTGTTTGGTCAGATGGCATAAGTACAATTAATTGCAATATAAATTGTCAGATTGTTTCAAAAAGCTCTACAATAAATTATTCTTCACCAGAAATATATGAGAGAACACTAGAAACAATAAGTCCTATAGATATCTTTAAATGCTACCTATTTGATGGTTTTTCTGGTGACATTCCTGTGTTATTTTAATTTGTATTTTCTTTACCACCCATGAATCTTAACAGATTTTTCTATGAAAGTTCAGCACTTTGATTCATTCTTCTGTGGACTGACTGCCTGTGCCTATCCACTTCCCTGGCTCTCTTGCTTGGTGTGTGCATGTGGCTTAGTTTTAGCAAATAGAATATTTGCTGTCCCTGAGCCTTGGTCTTAAATCCTTATACAAGCACTTTTTCTTGTTATCTTACCTGTTTGTCTGACTTGGGTGATGATTCTTAGAGTAATTTTGGTTGCCAAATGTTAAAGTTAGTAGAACTACTATAAGCCTCTGAGTGGCTAAATGGTAGTTATTTCTGTGGCCTGAATACTCTTATGAGATATTCAGAGAGATTGAGAGGGAAGAATTATTTTTGAAGACATGGAATTTTTATTTTCTATTCCTTAGAACAGTTTAGTTTACCCTAAATAGTAACTACCTATTATTTTCCTCTGCTAATTTTTCTTGAGGCTCCTAACTTTATCAGGTGAATTTTAAGACATCTGTGAGGCTGGGCACGGTGGCTCACACCTTTAATCCCAGCACTTTGGGAGGCTGAGGCAGGCGGATCACGAGGCCAGGAGTTCAAGACCAGCCTGGCCAACATGGTGAAACCTCGTCTCTACTAAAAAGAAAAAAATTAGCTAGGTGTGGTGGCGGTCGCCTGCAGTTCCAACTACTCGGGAGGTTGAGGCAGGAGAATTGTCTGAACCCAGGAGGCGGAGGTTGCAGTGAGCCGAGATCGTGCCACTGCATACCAGCCTGGGTGACAGGCAAGACTATATCTCAAAATAAATACATACATACATACATACATACATACAAACACATATATGTAATGTATAAATATTACCTTTTTGTCATCTATTTAACAAAATATTTGCTCAAATATATCCTTCCATCTGACAACTATTTAACATTACTTTTCTAATATTTTTACCTTATTGCTGCTGACTTGATACATTTTTATTCATTCCACTACATCCTTGTTATTTTGGAAGATCTATCCTTTATTTCTTTATTAAGGGGTATCTTCAATTTTTTGACCTCACAATTAGATGCATAATTTTCAAGTACTATTTGAAATAAAGATGCCTTCTATTGTCTTAGCAAATTAGTCAATTTCTCTACTTACCCCTCCTCAATAAGTTGACAAATTCAAAAAACATAAATTTCCCCATTTCTTTTTCACCACTCCCCTCCAAGAAACCTTGGAACCAGTTTGTTCCAAGGTTTGTTCCCACCAAAGTCTAGATTATACAAAAATATTTTAGAATGTTAACGATATATTGTTAGTAAAATTCTTCTATTGAATAGTTTATGATAATTTGTCAACATGAAATGTTAGGCAGACATTGAATACCAACTAGAGCTATTCATATTCTCTTAACGGGATTTCCATTGAGTTATTGATGAAAGATAAAGTGATATAAAGAAAATGTGTATACACCGAGTGCAAAATATTTTATACCCTTTATGTGGCCATGAATATTAAATCACAGTTATGGGAGGAAATTGCCAAATACATATATTAGGCTGTTAAAAACTGTTTTTCTGAGCTCTGGAAACTGATGGATAGGCATAGCAGAAGAGAGCAGAAGCAAGCCAAGAAATCAAGGAAAGGATACAGCTATATAACAAGAAATAAAATAAAAGTACGTAATGTAATTCCCTTAGAAAATGAAGTAGGGTGACTGAGAAGATGTGGAGAACCTTTATACCAATGTCCTTTTTCTAATCAGATTTGATTATAAAACATCGACATAAAATCAATATATGTGTATTATATTCATTTCAATTTTAATTTCAAGACCTAATTTTGCTGTCTTAAAGATCATGGATAACTCCATCTTATCTCAGTGTTCAATCTATAATTCATTAAAACAGTTTTCAAAAGAATTTTCAAAATACTTTATTATGATTACAACCATACTTAATCTTCAATTAGGACATACTATGTGATAAATACTATGGTGAAGTACTTCTCAATAATCCATATTCTTAAACACAACAAGTTCTAGGATCAAACTGCTTAAATTTATATATTTGCTCAATCATTTGCAACATAAATATTTTACAGATGAAGAAACTAAAACACTTTTTTTTTCTCCGAAACTGTTTCAGGGCTAACTAACTTACTCATGAGCTTGGTAAAAATAAAAATTATTAGATACCTTGTGGATCCGCTGCATATATTTCAAATTTAAGTTTTTGAAGCACTTTTTGAAAAGACTTCTTTATGTGACATTTGTTCATTAAAAACACAGTGATTCTTTTTTGAAATATGATCCAATTGTAAAATATCCTGTGTCTAGAAATGAATTTATTTTCCTAACAAAAATGAATTAAATTAATTAATTAAATTCTCAGAACCATTATTTAAACCAAGTGCGTTGATCCTACAACCAGTGAAAATAATCCCTACAATGCTAAAAATGTGTGTGCTATTATCCATCTATTTCCTAGTTCATTAAAGCCAAGTTATCATAATCTGGACTTTTTACCAAAGATTTTCAGGGATGTCAAAGGTTTTTACTCCTAAATTTAATATGCTGAAATATTACTTTATGTTCTATTTATTTTTATTCATTTAAAATAACATTTTTCTCTATGTTGCGATTGCAAAAATTAACTTATTTACATATATACATGATGTCATGATATACTCTAGGCACAATTTTGGATATTTCCTTTTCCCAATCTGTTTAACTTACACAGGTAATCAATATATGTAATCACCAAGCAAAAGACCTTCATTGGTTTCTATTTTGTTATTTTTTCCTCTGGAAAAGAGTTTAAGATAGTTTTAACATGAAGAATACCAACCATATTTTTTGCATATTGTTATTTCTTCAAAGATGCTTAATCTATATAAACAAATTTTAAAAACCCTGGTATCAGTTAGGTAAAATCTCTGAGATTTAAAATATTTACTAAGCTACTAAATGTTAAGCAACACGGGATTCTGAGAGATTGGCCAATGGCAAGGATTGTAAGGGAACAAAAACTTGGAAACAATGCTGTTTGTCAACATCTTGAATAATTTGCTGTGCCTCTATTTTATGTCACAGTATTTCCACTTCCAGGCCTATACAAATAAATAAAATCAGTGTTATACACAGAATAGGTACACACACACACACAAGCGTTCAGATATAAAGATTTCAACTGTAGCATCATTTGTAATAAACAATATTGGAAACAATGTTGGTATATATTGCTAAGAAAATGTGTCGAGATCAATTTAGTATAATTATATAATGAGATACATGATTATTTCATTTCTTTATGGAATGAGTGTAATGGGAAAATCCAGTGGAAAGCTTACGTTAAAGCTAAGAAAGTTAAATCTTTAAGACCTTTCATGTGTATGGGTCTTTCTCGGGGTCATACGAGTTTTGCAAAATTTGCTATGTAAGATGCTTAACTAAAAATAAGAAAAGCCACACCTGTTTTGACTCCCATTTGCCTTTAGTCATTTATCTCCCTGTCAGGTAGTGCGGGTCCAGCCTACAGCACTTTTAGTATTCAGCTAAGGGGAAGTTGAATAGAGACATATTTAATTTCAGTTCATTGAGGTTAATGTGCTTGATTTAAAGCCACTTCCATGTAAAATGAAGTTGTTTCTGGCAGTTCAGAGACTTTCTATTGCTCACTCCATAGATTCATCCAGTGTCGTAGCACAGAGGTGCAGAGGCAGGAATGTTGTGAGACACATGTCATGCAGTACTTGGTACCAGAGGCTGCAGAGAAGGAAAGAAACAGCTGCCCTTAACCTAGCTCTCCTTTCCACTAATTCTTACCGTGGTGGTGATGTGGTGAGAACCAGATGTCCTACATGTAAGGGGATCTGCTGTAGGCAAAGAACTCTGGAAAAAAGAACCTGAGCATTTTTGTGGAAGAGTGACCCAGTTGCTCTGACCCCCTTCTGAGTGTGTCTCCATAGTCACAAAACGGAAAAAAATCTGAGTTCTTACTCTAACCATTTGGATAAAAATAAATCTCTCTAGGGGAAAGATAACACTAGACTCTCCGGCTTTGTAACTTCTGGGATGCATCTACTGGGTCTCATCTTCTCTTGAAATGTAAATATATATCCCTAGTGAGGTAAATCCCTCAGGATGGCCCCTAACCATGTTCTTTCTGTGAATTAATTTCCAGAGCTAGTTCTTAGCGTAGAGCAGAAGTCTGAGTAAAATTTGTTGAGAAAGTTCTTACTATGCGTAAATAACTTTATTTACAGCCTAACACTATCCATTAAAATCAATAAGAGAAAGACAAACTAATCCAAAATGACTCTGCAATCGGGGCTCTAAAACAATGCAGGTTGACTGTAATTGTTAAAATGAATTTGGAAGGTATTTGACCTTATCTGTTAAAATTAAGTATATGCATACCCTGTGACCAATAATTCTGCTACTATCATCCAACAGGAACACATAAACATATTCAGCAAATGTACAAAATTTTTTATTAAAGAATTATTCACAACAGCTTAAATTGGAAGTTTTGCAGTTATCCATCAAGAGTAAAATAAACACATCATAGCATATATATACATACATGGAGTATTATCAAGCAAGAAGGATAAATGGTATACCCAAGAGAGCTTTGATGACTCTCCTAAATACATTTCTGAGTAACAGAAGCCATCCAGAAAAGAATATATATTGTTTAATTCTATTATAAAAGTTCAAAAATAGGTTAAAAAAAGTCTATGTTATTAGCAATCAGAATAATAATTACTTGCAGATGGAGCAGATGGTAATTTAAGGGAATTTTATTGTGAAATATGTACAATCACTTTGTTAAAATTAATTAACTATATACTATTTGTGGATTTCAATAAAAATGTTTAATAAACTATCTCATCGTTGTTATTTACATTTATTAAATAGCATTTAGGCATGGGTGAAAAGGTTTAACTTGACTGGCCTGAATTGCTCAAATACTATACATTCCAAAGAGGGGTCCCTCTGCAGGACTAGACCTTAGACTAGGAGTTCATCTCTGAGCCCTTGGAGTATTTTGCTTGATAAAAGTGTTCTTGTTTTCCTGAAGTCTTGGGCCATACTCTCCCAGTTCGACCAGAAAAGGTTATGTTATCAACGTGACTTATGTGAACATCTGTTTTTACTCTGGGTGTAGGAAGAAAGTTGTGCTTAAATGTCATGGAGCTGAGGTCAATCATATGGGCATTACATGACTATGCGACTGATCCCAGTAAACACCTTCGACAACTAGGCTCCAGCGAGTGTTCCTGGTTGGCAATGCTTTGTACTTTACATATTGTTGCTGGGATAATTAAACATGTCCCCATGCAACTGCTCTGGGAGGGGACACCTGAGAGCTTGGACTTGGTTTCTCCTGGAGTTCACTTCATTTGTCTTTTCTCTTAGCTGACTTCTATCTGTACTGTTTTTACTGTAATATACTGTAACAATGAGTACTACAGCTTCTGATTCCCTTAGAGACTTCCAATAAATTACCAGGTCTCAAGTGGTCTTGGGAACCCCTGGCATATTACTGAACTTAAAGTTTTCAGAATATCTGTATTTGGTATATTCCATGGCAAGCACTATATCCATCACACTTTTTCATTTATTGACATAACTCCAAATATTTCCACATATATAAAATTCAGGAAAGTAACCCTATCCTTACCTCTGAGGATAAAGCTTGTTAAGCATAGGTAAACCATGATAATTTAAATTCACCTGTTTCTGACTGACTTTTTTTAATGACTGTTTTTAGTCAAGAAAATGTGAGGGTAGGTCTGCCAAGAGCTACTGAAAAGAGTTACATTTTCTAAAAAAAAAAAAATCCTCGTCTTTTCTCTTTGAGAATAATTTGTGGTGTTTCTGAAATCATTGTCTGCCCATAAAGAGAGATTACTTAAACAAAAAGTCTGTATAAAATATGACTACAGAGAAAGATGAGAAAAAAATCATATTTTTGATTAATTTATTGATCTATTAAATTAATAGTCTTGGAAGTAGATCCCTCTTTGGACTTCCAGTTAGAGACAGGGCCTTACTCTATGGCCCAGGCTGGAGTGTAGTAGTGCCACCATAGCTCATTGTGTAGCTCACCGCAACCTCAAACTCCTGGACTCAAGCAAACCTCCTGCCTCAGCCTCCCAAGTGGCTGGAATACAGACAGGTGCCACCATGACCACACCTGGCTATTTCTTTTTCAGTTGTAGAGCTGAGGTCTCCCTATGTTGCTCAGGCTGGTTTTGAACTCCTGGCCTCCAGTGAGCCTCCCACCTCAGCCTCCCAAAATGCTGGGATTCCAGGCATAAGCCACCAGACCTGGCCTATTTATAGTTTAAATTTTCTCATCGTCTAAATAAAAGATCTAAAACTAATTGTCTAAGTTGGTGGAGCAGTCAGAACACACACATTTATTGATTAAATTTATTGTCTTATATGGATGTGGTTCATGGTGCCCAAAACAATTACAATAGTAACATCAAAGGTCACTGGTTACAGATTATCATATCAAATATAATTATAATTAAACAGTTTGAAATATTGTGAGATTTACCTAGATATGGCACAGATATACAAATGAACACATGCTATTAAAAAGTGGTGCCAATAAAGTTGCTTGATGCAGGGTGGTCATAAACCTTCAATTTGTGTAAAACATTATCTGTGAAGCCAAGTGAAGCAAAGCACAATCAATTGAAGTATGTCTATATTCCACTGCCTTTGTAGAGTGTATATAGTTGTATTACATAACATACATAATATATATACAAATATATATATTATATATACAAATATATATAATATATATATTTGGTATATGTAATATATATTATATATATTTGTATATATATTATACATACATATTATATACATATATAGTATACATATATATTATACATATATATTATATATATATATATATATATATATATATTTGATATGGACTGTGTCTTGTTTCCCCAAAATTAATATATTGAAGCCTTAACTCTCAATGTGTTAGCATTTGGAGGTGGGACCTTTGGAAGTAATTAGGTTTAGATGAGCCCATAAGGATGGGGTCTTCATGATGGGATTAGTGCTCTTACAGGAAGAGACCAGAGAGCTAACGCTTTCTATTCGCTATGTACGTACATAGGAAAAAGGCAGCCCTTTGAAAGCCCAGAAGATGACCCTCCTCAGACTTGCCAGGTTCAAGAACTATAAGAAATAAATGTCTATTGTTCAGACCAGTGCCTATCTTATTTTTATATAGCAGCCTGAGCTTACTAAAACAATTATTAAGAAAAAACAGCAAAGCAAACAAACAAAAGCAACTATGTTTAAAACTCCTGGAAAAATAATTTATCTCCTGTGCAGCTGTTTTTTTTAAGATTTTCCTTTAATGTATTTCCTCTCATTTTTCTTGCGTCTTATTTGGAGTCTGTAGTAGCATAGTTCTTAATTTGCTTATCAAGTAATTTACATCATATTAAACATGAATTTCAACCAGCAAAGAATATTATTAAAACTTCTGGACTAATGTTATTCACTTGTATTCTTTCCTACTGCCCGGAAATGCTTTTGCTGGCAATGATTTCTCCTTTGATGTTGTGAAGTTTCCGGCCATTGTTAGAGAAACAGGTCCACTTGCCGATTAGCAGGCAGTAGGCTTTGTGACCTGAGTTCAGTAACAGAAGATCATTACTTTCTCTGGCAATTTGATACAACATGCTTCATATATTCCAAAATTCATCAATTTTCTGCTCTGTTGATGTCCTCCTTTATTATGTTAAAGAGTTGCCACAGTATAGTTTATTCATAATGCTATTTTCAGTTGAATTACTAGAGCTCCACTTTAGCATTTTAAAATCATATTATCGCATGTTTATTTCCAAATTAACAGGGCAATAAAAATCCTCTCTTAAAAATCAGGGATATCAGTATTCATCTCTTTTTATGTAAAAATATTAAAAAATTAGAAGTGAAATATCACAGAAGATATTTTAAATATGAAGACAAATAATGAAATAAGGAGAATTTTAAAAGCCAAATATTTTGGATCAGAGTAAGAAGTTAGTGGTAAAAGATAAAGGTTATCCAACAACCTTTTGCAAATGAAGCCAAAAAAGTAGGTTTGTGCAACAGTGAATAACTAAAATTACAACTCTTTTATATTTCATTAAAAAACATACCCTTTTTCAAAATGTCAGATCGGTTTAATCACACCATAAAATTATTTACCCAAAGTTAAGGAAAAATAGCATACTGTCATATAAGTAGAAAATTTAAATACACAATTGATATTTAACGTTCTCTAAGCAATGTAAAGATTGCTTTTAAGGTATCTAACAGAGTTGTATTTATTATTAGGGATCAAAAAGTGTGTAAATTAGCACAATATATTTTATATAAAATGAATCTGATTGTGTTTTCTCTTCTGAGAGTATACAATTATAATTCTGAATTTTGAATTTATTCTTAAACAAATAAAAACAACTGCTATATCTGAATTCTTGTTTTATGTCACTCTTGTGCATATTTTTTACTATCTATATTTTAGGCATTTTATAGGTTAAGTATGCGCAGTTGGTGCTTAATATAGCCTAGCAATGCTCCCTGTTTCTTTTTTTTAACCTTTAATTTCAGGGGTACATGTGCAGGTTTGTTATATAAATACATTTGCATCATGGGGGTTTGTTTTACAGATTAATTCATTACCCAGGCATTAAGCCTATGATTCATTAGTTATTTTTCCAGATGGTCTCCCTCCCCCGACCTTCTGCCCTCTTGCAGGCCCCGGTGTCTGTTGTTCCCTTCTTTGTGTGCATGTGTTCTCATCATTTAGCTTGCACTTACAAGTGAGAGAATGTGGCATTTGTTTTTTCATTCCTACATTCATTTGCTAAGGATAATGGCCTTCAATGCCATCCATATTCCTTCAGAACACATGATCTCATTCCTTTTTATGGCTACATCTTATTCCCTGGTGTATATGTTCAACATTTTACTTATCCAGTCTTTACTATTGATGGCCATTTAGGTCTATTCCATGTCTTTGTTAATGTGAATAGTGCTGCAGTGAACATATGTGTGCGTGTGTCTTTATAATAGAACAATGTACATTCCTTTGGATATATACCCAGTAATGGGATTGCTGGGTCTAATGGTAGTTCTGTTTTTAGGTCTTTGAGGAATCACCACACTGTTTTCCACAATGGCTGAATTAATTTACATTCCCTTTAACAGTGTATAGTGTTCCTTTTTCTCTGCAACCTTACCAGCACCTGCTATTTTTTGACTTTTTAATACTAGCCATTCTGACTGGTGTGCTTACTGGTTCTTAATCTCACCCACATCTTAGAATAATGTGGAACATTTCAAACTTACCCACACCTCTTTCTAAAAACTGAAGTTCTGTTTTAATTGGACTTTAGTAGAGCCAAGAAATGAGTATTACTTAAAATCTTGCCATGTGATTCTACTAGGAAGCCAGGGTTCATAGCCATGGATTACATTTTTAATATAAATACACATTATTAGTTGAAGCAGTTTTAAGTTAGGATAGCTGTAACGTTGATTGAAAGGGGAATACTTAAAACAGAACCCTGCCTTGGGTCGTCAAGACTTAAAAAATTCTTCTGTTTTTATTCTATTAAATATAATCATGCATTCATTTACTTTAGCATTTATAATTCTAAAACACATTGCAAATTTCACAAAACTACCATTTTCTAAATGTCAACACTCTAAATACACCATTTATTTTTCAAAGTAGTATATTCACTTCAAATT
The DNA here is from genome assembly GCF_000001405.40 of Homo sapiens. NCBI lineage: Eukaryota > Metazoa > Chordata > Mammalia > Primates > Hominidae > Homo > Homo sapiens. The sequence continues at coordinate 63,659,076 of NC_000009.12, forward strand.
CCATTGCTGTGTCAAGAGTTAGTTGAACTTAAAATATAATTAATAGTTACTCAGCAAAAATAGAAAGATGTTAGCTGACTGTGTCAAAAGAAATATTTTAACACTGATTTCATTTTTACTAAATGACTGAATTTTTCTTTATATTTTATGCTTAAGCTTCTCTGCTTTCTTTCTATTTTTTGTGGTTTAAATAAAGAACCATGATTATCTGTATAACTAATTGCTCAAAGTAATTAATCATTTTTCTTATGAAATTACCAGGGTAAATTAAGAATCATAATTACAGAGTTTTCTCTTGTCTAGAGGAAACATACTGAGAAACTGTGTTAGGAAATTATTATTTCAAAACCCAGTCTAAGTTCTTAGCCACTGGACTTTAAAAAATACATATTACATATACTTTATCTAACATGATTGAGAATATAGTTTGTTTCAGATTTCCACATTTCTTAAATGAAAACAATAAAGAATTCAAAAGGCAATAGGTACTGTAAAAAGAAAAGGTATTCAATCTCATGTAAACGAGAATCCTACACTCTCACTGAATTTTACTAGAGGGGAACTTATTGTCACATCAGATTGTTTGTTCAAGATACTATTTCTGATGTATTTTATTAAAGAATTCAAAAGGCAAAGGTATTGTAAAAAAAGTTATTTGATCACATGTAAATGAAAATTCTACCTTCTTATTGAATTTTACTAATTAGAGGGATAATTATTCTCGCATCAGGTTATTTGCACAAGATACTATTTCTGATCTATTTTATTAAAAGTCACCATTTATCATTGGTTTTCATCTCATGTTATATATGCAAATGAAACTCCTTTGAGTATGCAACGGTTATTTACTGCAGTGAATATTGTATAATCATATCTATCAAAATGTTCTTCTTTGAAATATTTTTCTAGTGCTTATTAGCAAACAGTTTTTATATTTGAGAAAGTGAAACGTGGACTTTAGAATCAGATTTAGGCCATATGGTAAGACAGTTGCCTGAAAAATCTTCATAACAAATGCTAATATTGATGAATTTTGGAGATGTCATTATATATGTATACCTAAAACTACAGGAAAACAAAGAAAATTACCAATGCCAGAAACACAGGCAACACTTAAAACCAGCAAGACCAGTTGCTCTGACTTTTCTGGATGGCAAGAGAGATGGACCCAGCAATTTATAAATTTGGATTTTCTTAATGCTCATCAGCGAAGGGGTGATGCATAGCTGGACCTAGATTGAAAGAGTAAAGAAAAATACTTATTAACCAACCCAGTATAATTAAGAAGTTTGTCTGTAAATACTAGAACAATTGGTAGAAAAAAACAAATACATATTCTCCCCTGAGAATCTGTAACATCAGGATTATCCATCATGTGTTGTTTGACTTCAAACTTTTAAATTGTACAGCCTTGAACCATGAACCATCAAATTAACAAATTAACATGTAGATTATTTTCTGGCCATTGATACACTGGAAGTTTGGTGGAAGAGATGCAAAATCATTCCAGAGCAAAAGCTGAAAATTTTTTTCTGCAAAGGGCAAGATAATAAACATCTTAGGCATTATTGACCATTTTAAAGAGCAGCTTATAGTCACCAAAAGGAATATCAACAAACTAGAAAGTGAAGATGAAGAATTATCCAGAATGCAGAATATGAACCAAAAGATAGAACATAAGATAAGCTGAAAGCCATGGAGGATTGAATAAAACTATCCAAGGAATATCTAAAAGAAATTCTGAAAAGAGAATAGTAGGAATAAAAATAATGGGATTATAATAGTTTGCTTCTACTTCTGGGATGAATGTAGTAGTTGTATAAGACACATACTCTTATTAAAATGACAAGAAAAAGCTGGATAAATTATAAAAGCCATATATTTTTTAAAGCATGAGGGAACTGTAGAAACAATGATGAATAGATGAACTAAGAGTACAGACATACCTGAGTGTTCGAAATGGGCCAAAGAGCATGATGCATTCATAGCGTCTACTAGTCAATTCTGGCACAAATTAGGAAGTAGAAGGCATGTTCAACGGAGGCAAAACAGTAATATATATATAAACATGTGGGTAAGTCTAAAGAAGCATTTGCTATATTGAATCAAACAAATAAAATAAAGTAAAACAAATACTAGAGAACATTGTTAAGCTGAGTTAAGTTTGGCTCAAAGTGCCCATTGTACTTGCCTAATTAAGTTTGGCCCAAAGCAGCATCCATACATAGTGACTGTACTCTAACTTAATGTGTAGATAAGTTGTAAGCTAATGTAGATATATGGACTTGTAACCAAGCAACTGAGACTCAACCAATCATAGGAGCCAGACCCTTAGTCAATCCTAGGCTGAATGCTGCCAAATTATGCCCAAATAAGGCAAATATTTAACTGCACCAATCAGGGAAACTCTGAATATAATTTTATATGTTCTGGTTATAAATACATCTCACCACTCTGGATGTGGAGTCACTCTGAACAATCTTTGTTCTGGGATGGTGCCTACTTCTCAAACCTTTTTCTTGGTCAAATAAACTTAGTGAAATTTAACATGTCTTAGTTGCATTTTTTTAAACAACATTCAAAGACCTACAAAATAGGACAGGGAACTTGTATTTAGACTATACTGTCTAAATGCAACGTATTTATGCTAGTTATTTGTGTGTTATAGAGAATATAGTGATATTGATATACTTTAAGTCATTTATGTACATCGGGAAGAGGAAAAAAAAAGTTACCCAATTCAATGGAAGTCAAACGAAGAAGCAGAACAGAGCTACCAGAAAAACATGATAAGAGTTAAAGAAGATGGGAGCTCAAAGAGGAAAACTGTCACTGAATTTGGGGAACTTTTCCTTGCAAGCCAAGTTAACTTTTATTCAGATAGAATTCTCAGATGAAAAAGACAGAAATTATAGTCTATGGCTGACAAAATATAGAGAGTCTGCCCAGAGACTTTTGCTATTCTAAGCTAGAATCATAAGGTTAATACACTCCAATGAAGGAGAAAACAAGAACCAGCTCTTGAGCATACTTGAAGTCTGGGACCAAATCTGAGTTGTTCAGATACTCATATTTTCACCCTGATTTAAGATGATCTGATATGGGTAATGCTTGCATAAGCAAAACTTCTGGAGGAACTTACCTCCATAGTAGACAACAAGGTAATCTTAAACTATCCTGACACTAATTGGGTGTATAAACTTGGCCAAGTCATTTTTCCCTTTGAGTCTCAGTTTCCTCAACTGTAACGTGAATATGAAAGTAACTAACTTGTAGGTCTGTATTAAAAATAAAGTCAATTATTTTGGTAAATCATTTGTATGCAATATAGCATACATGAGAGAGAGAGAGAGAGAGTTTGTGTGCATGTGTTTAGAGAGAGATGGAGAGAGAGACACACATACACAGAGAAGAATCAGTATATTGTTAAGGATAACAACATCCAGAAACAAATCGACAGACAAGAAAAACAATTTAAATAATAGAATTATCAGACAGAAGTTAAAGAACAAAACATAGGCTTAAAGATGCACACAGGAAAATACAAATATGATCATGGTAGATTTAGAAAGGAAATACCTGCTAGAAGTAACGGAGAACTACTAGAAAATTAACGAAGTGCAGTAGGAAGAAAGAAAATAAATTATTGAAGAAAAGTTTCAAGATACAAAGGATAGAGTTACACGTTAATATATGTCTAAACTTTACCAGGAAAAGAGAGACAAAGGCAATAACTAAGGAAATAATAGAGAATGTTTTTAGTACTGATTGAAGACAGATATAAGCAGATTTAAGAAGGTCAACAAATTCTGAGTGGAGTAAGAAAAGTACAATGAAGAAAACAAAAGGCAAAGCCAAAATTCTGTAAAGCAGCCTGAAAATAAGGCTTATTACCATTAAATAACAACATTTCAGTCTATAGAAACTTACATCCTAGGAGAGGGAATACTTTAAATAAAAAAGTAATGGATGAAAAGAGAAAAATTCCATCAAGTGGGATAACTGTTATCCATAAAGAAGTAGCAGGTGAGATGGGGAGTAAAAAAACAAACATATATAAATCCTCTTATTTTATATATTATAGCTCAATTTTATTCCCATCTTTGATAATCCAAAAATTATACACTGATCAATATATCTGTTCTAAATGTTAAGATTCCAACAGGTAGATCATGTCTCTCAAAATGTGTTGCACATTGCCTCAACTGGTGGTTCATGATGCATATTAAAATAAGAAAGGCTTAGAGAATTCTTACAGCAAGGAAAACAATGTAAGTTTATTTAATTTAGTGTTTTAGCTATATATTTAATAATTATTTTAGGTAGGCAGTTGTTTAAAGACAATAGAAATTACTTGGAATTTAAAGCAAGCAAAAATGAATGCGTTGGAAAAGCACAACGCAGCTCTTAGAATTGAAAAAAAAAGTAGGTGAACCAGCCTCAGGCAGGAATCAGAGAGCAAGTCAGAACCAATATCAGAAAAAGGAAGTTCTGCTTTTCATGTGGCTATTGTCCTGTCAGTCATGACCGCTGGCCACTGCCAGCAAAGCATGCACAGGCATTTTCTGGAATGCTGCTGGGCTCTGCTTTAGCTTGTCACTTCCCACTTTACCATTGGATTCAAAAAATCTATCCATCTGACAGGAATAATTTCAGACTCTCTGCCTACTTCTTACCTTGCAAGGTTAAAAATGCAAGGAATGAGTGGCTATTCTTGGGTCTCTGGTTTACATTTTAGCCTCCAGTTGGTGGGAAGAGAAAAATCTACTCACAAACAGCTTCAAAACGGAAAGGTCCTATATTGGCATTCCTACATAAAAGAAAGTACTGGGGGGCTTGACAAATGGACATTTGTCTTCAAAGAACACATATTCTCCTTTAGACAAAGTTTGCACTTATATAGCACAATTAACCTACTTCTTATCAATCAATAAAACGAAGAGACAATTACAGAACAGGATAAGGTGTTTGCAAACTATGTATTCAACAAGGTTTGATATCCAGAATATATAAGGAACTCAAAAAACTCAATAGCAAAAGAAAATGTTGATTAAAAAATGGACAAAAGAAGACATACAAATGGCCAAAAAATATATAAAGAAATGCTCAACATCATTAAGCCTCAGAAAAATGCAAAACAAAACCGCAATGAGCTATTACCTTATCCCAGTTTAAATGATGGATATTATCAAGAAGACAAAATATAACAAATGGAAACGATAATGTGGAGAAAGAGGAATGTTATACACTGTTGGTGGGAATTTAAAATAGTATAGCTGTTATGAAAAGCAGTATGGAGTTTCCACAAAAAATAAAAAAGAGAACTATTATATTACCCAGCAATCCCACTACTGGGTACGTAATCAAAAAAAATGAAATTAGTATGTCAAAGAGACATCTGCACCCAGGGATATTGAAGCATCATTCAAAATAGCCGTGATATGGAATCTGCCTAAATGCTCATCTAACAACAAATGGATAAAGAAAATGTGGTGTATAAATGTATATCTATCTATCTATCTATCTATCTATCTATCTATCTATCATCTATCTATCATCTATCTATCCACCCCTCCAGAACAATATTCAGCCATAAAATGCTGTTATTTTCAGCAATGTGGATGAAGTTGGAGGACACTTTGTTAAGTGAAATAAGCCAGGCACAGAAAGACAAGCACTGCATGATCAAATTCATATCTGGAGTTTTAAGGATATGGAGAAAGATGTTAGGATTTTTCCTTGTGTGAACAATATTTAAAATTATTATATTTGGAGAGATAACTAGAATACTTCTGCCAACTTAACTATGACCCATTGAATTGCTCTGAATTATAAATCAAATACTCTGATTTAGCACTTCACTACCATTTTTAAATCTACAGCATTTATATAAATTAATAACTGCTGTAGAGCATACTACTCATGGCTGAAAAAAGTGACCTGATGATTCGAGCTATCTAAGACCCACCTGATGTCTGACAGCACTAAGGATCAAGCTATCACCTCTCCCTTAACACATCTTTCACACCAGTGTGCTAGAGCAGATAGCTGAAAAGTTTTCCCTAAGCCAGAGATCATTCTGACAAGGCATGTGGAACAATGGAGATGTCAACATGCTTTCAAGACAAGTAACAGTAATCCTGGCTCTTAACTTGCTTTAATAATAATGAATTCTTTTATCAAGTCCTGAGGAATGAGGGCTTCCAGGTGCCGTATTTCCAGGTGCTTATCAGAATTTTTCTTTGCTGATAAGAACAATTGTTGCAGCATGCTTTGCTAATCACATACAGAAAGACAAGAAATTTATATTCTAATAATAGAACACAAGTCCATCTCTTGCATCTGATTTAGCCAGATTAAGTCACGTTTCCACCAATATCAATCTGGAAGTGATATCATGAACTAAATGGTGTCAACCTGGGGTTTGTATTATATCTCGACAAAAGAAAAGAAGTTGCCATCATTGGCAAGGTACATACAGGATACATCTCTGTTTCGGCAGATGGGATGAGATTTCCCTGATTCTCCTACACTGCAGAGGGTAGAGGGAGGTATTTATATAATACACAGAATTTTAATTGAAGAAGCAAAGAGGAATGGATTAATGGGATTAATAGTGTTTATCCAATACAAGATGAAAAACAACATATTATTGTTTGTATCGTGATGGTTCTAGAATAAAACACATCATTTCTCTAATTTTAGATAGATCTTTGCTGAAAGAAAAAGATAAATAAAATACCCTACAGTTTATCCATATCCATGTTCCTCTACACTAAATATTCATCTTTGATTAGTTATTTTTAACTATATTTGATTTCTTTATAAATTACCTTTTGAAACTTTAAACACATAAAGACATTGTTTCCCCTTAAAAGATTTTTCTTTTCCTTTCTTTTGTTTTTTTAATCTAAAACTTACTTTCAAAAACAATGACTTTCATAAACTTTCAACTTGTTAAATATAGTATTTTTATTAACATTCTAGTTTGTAACAGAAGGCAAAACCTAAACACTTACCATTTATAAATAATGGGTAATACTGTTTCAACTTAACCTTGAGAATGTAAAAAAAAAATTGAGTCCAGTCTGATAGCAACCAAAAGATCTCAGAAACAGTAATCTTAGTGCTCGCCTGGCAGACACAATCTGCACAGAACTTACTCAGAATAAGATTAAAAGTCCATAGCAATTTCCTTGAGTGGCCAGTCAGATATCCCCCATTACAGTCACCAACCAGCCTGCCTCTGGGGCCTATTTCAGAAATAAACTGGTTTGTAGATGAGCTGATGCAGAAGAAGGAAAAAAAAATGTTTTCTTGAGACTGTACCTAAATCTTATCAAGTAATACAGGGAAGCTTCAAAGTCTTTTTATTCTGAAATGTTATTTTATTCTGCTTTATATCATCTTAAATTTATTAGTATTATATTAAATATTAGTTTATGTAACCTTATTATTTGACTCTGTATAGGATATAATAGATGGCATTGAATATTTAATAAGATAGCAACAGCAATAACACCTGGGAAATTGTTCAGGGAAGGATTCTATTCAGTTATTAAAAGATTTGCATACTTATTTCACTAATATTACTAGCAATCACAAGCATTGGGTAATGCTAGACAAATCTGCAAGAGGTACCGTTATTCCAGCACCTTAAAAACATTTTTCAATCTGAAAGATACTTCTAGATGTTTTTTTCCATAACAGAGCAGATGATTTCTAAGTGTTTATATCACTGAAACTTCACAGTATTAGTGGAATATGTTATCCTTTATACCAAAAGTAATCAGATTATTTTATAAAGCAATTATCAATTAAAAGTAGATTACTAAGAACATACTGTATAAAATGCCTTATGGGCTATTAATTCTGCATGCATTGCCACATTTGATTGTCTCAAAAAACCTCCTGAAATATGTATTCTTAACACACTTTTATTGAGAACATTATGAGTAATAAAAGTTGAAAGATTTTCCCAAAGATGTACAAGTAAGACAGGTCCTCAAATAAAGTTGTTTTATTCAATGTTGTTTTGCTATAATGTAGATGAGAATAAATATTGATTCCTGGACAGGGCTACCATCTGTGTAGGGTCTGCATGTTCTCCCCATGCCTGCATGGGTTTTCTCCAGGAACTCCTGCTTCCTCTCACATCCCCAAGATGTGCATGTCTGGTTAATTGGCATTTCCCCACTGTGTGTCCCAATGTGAGTGAATGTGGTTGTGCCCTGCCATGGAATAGCATACTGTGCAGGGTTTATTCCTGCATTGCATGCTGAGTAAGAATAGGTTCTTGCCACCCGAGACTCTGAACTGGAATAATTGGGTAAATAATCATCTTACTTGTTTTTATTAATCTTTTTAAAAATGTATGTATACCTCACACTTATTTCAGTGTTGAATGTTATAAGTGTTGTTTTAGTCTCCATTTAGAAGTACAGTGATAATATTGTGACCAGAAATATGCAGTAGGAACTTATATCTTGTTGTATCAATTGGCCTATGGTAAAATTTGTTTCATTGTTCACCATTTTGCTGATAGTTGCAGTTTCCAATAATCTACTGATATTAAATGTGGACTTACTATGTAAACAATAGCAAGGATCCTAAATCCTAGGTTATATCTAAGTTTAAATGGCTTGACACCAAGTCAGAATTGCCTTATGACCATGCTCTTATAAGTGTTTCATTTTTTAAAACAGTGCAAACTGAATTTTGCATGAGAATTATCATTAAAAAAATTTTTGTTACAGATAGGATCTTGCTATGTTGCCCAGGTTGACCTTGAAGTTCTGGGTTCAAATGATCCTTTTGCCTCAGCATCCAGTGTAACTGGGACTACAACTGTGTGCCACCATACCCAGGGCTGCAGGAAAAGTTGTTATGTAAAGCAGTGATTTATGAAAATAAGACTTTATTTGGGCAACATAGAAAATGTAAACAAAAAGAGTTGCTCAACATAAAACTTACTCAAGTCACAATTTACCTCTGACATGACATATTTCCATCCACCTCAGAAAAAAAATGTGTATACCTTTTTATTTCTTTTTTTCTTTTCTTTCCTTTTTTTTTTTTTTTTAGATGGGCTGGAGTGCAGTCACAGCTCACTGCACCTTTGAGCTCCTGGGCTAAAGTAATCTTCCTTTCTCAGCCTCCTGAGTAGTTAGAACTAAGACATGCACCACCATGTCTGGCTAATTTTTAACATTTTTTTGTGGAGATGGAGTCTCGCTATGTTGCCCAGGCTGGTCTTGAACTTCTGGCCACATGCTATCCTCTCACCTCGACCCCCCAAAGTACTTGGATTATCAGCTCAAGTACTTAGATGTATTAACCAGGATCACAGAGAGCTTGATTTTGTAAGTTTGAGTTAGCATGTAATAACTGCAGTTGATTTTGATGCATGTATTTAATGAGAATCATTGCTTTAGACTATATGATATTTGAAACAAAAGAGCAATAGGACTGCATGGCACAATATAAAGTCTGTTATGACATAGTGACTTTAATATATTTTAATTAAAATTATAATAGTAAAAGCTAAAAATGACAAGACAATTGTTAGAAATCATATCACGACAGCATAATCATGTATCCACAAGTGATTGATACAATAACATGAACTGACATTTTGCTGCAATATTAATCAGTTAATACAGGTTTTTAGGTTTCAGTTAACTGGTTAATCATAAAATATTATCAAATTGTGTAAGTCATCTCACTGTATTCTAAAATTTATGTTATTTTATATTTCTATGTTTTGCAGAGATCATGAAAATTTTACTGGGTAACTGAAGAAGAATTGTCCCAAGGACTTGAATAAATGTTAATGTTCATAACAGTATGTTCTAAAAAGAAATTTAAGTAAAAAAGGAAAAAACATATTTCATTTTAAAACTATCTACGCATGCACATCATTCATCTAAAAAACCCATTTAATATAATCATCTAGTTATGTAAAGATATACCCAATAGCTACTTAAAATACAAATATTCTATTTCATTATTAGAAATTATTATTTTAAAAGGTTGTTAAAACATCAAAAATATGCTTATTTCTAGTAACCAGAGAACACAGCAGGGTTATGAAACTTTGGATTCCTGTTTGATTTGGCAGGTAACTAGATTAACAAAAATACAAGGTTTTGAGTTTCAAAACAGAATAGCATATTTAAAAAATACTTGGTGGGTGTCTGGCAATTGAGAGACCTTAGTAGCACAATCATTGGTCTTCACAATCACTGCTAGGTACTCTTTCAAACTAGCTTGAATAACTGCAAAACACATTATCAACCCAGCTTCTTTTTGCTGGACCTGGGCATATATAAACTGATTAGATTTAAAAATAAAAAAAATAGAGTTTTTTCAGTTGTGTTTGAAGAGGTGAACCCTTGGACTCAAAATCTCTCAAAAGTCCTGTCTTTCACTTCAGAATCTGCATTAATTTGCACAGGAATATACTTCTGTGTTTTAATAAACACATGCAATTTTTCTGTTTTCATCTTGCAAGTAATGACAGCTTTGTTCTCAAACCAATTTTGTTTTTTATAGATTTTACCCTGATATATAATGAAGAGACAATTACATGATCTGTGTAGAAATTCTTCCTCTAAACTAAATTATACTACCTTAGAAATCTGACATGAAAGTACCAAAACTATGTAAATTGACCTCACCAAGAAAATTATTACATAAAACAGTGATTCATGGAAATAAGACTTGATTTGGGCAACATAGAAAGTATTAAAACTAAAAAGGAGTTGCTTGAGATAAAATTTACCCAAGTGACAATTTTACCTGTGACAAACATATTTCCATCCACTGCAGAAACAAATGTGTTTAGTTTATTAAAGTATATGTTTAACAGCAAAAAATAAATAGAATAAATTTATTATCCCTATCCAGTGATAAACACAATTTTAAAATAAAAATGAAAACATCCTGCTTATATTTGCTATACTATTTCATGCATTAGGCTAAGATATATGGTTATTTCCATGCTTTCAGGATGTGTTTAACAAATCTCTTATACATTTTCCTGTTGTTGTCATTTTAATATCTTGAATATAATATTAAATAAACATTTCTACAAATAATTTGAACCTCAAAGTTTCATAAACATCTATCCTTCAATATTTAGGCCTAAAAAGTAATCTCCATTATCTATCAAATTCTAAATTTGAACTTATTATGGTTTACTCCTACTTTTTAATTATTACTTTGGTTAAAGATACTTCATGATATTAAGTTCCTTACTAATAATGTATATGGTTGTATTACATTCATTTATCCATCAAGACTAACTTTGAGCTACTATGAAATATAATTCAAATCATTCACATAATATCTAATGAAGGATTACTATAATACAAAGCACTATACTAGGTTTCATAAGTGATACAAAAACAAGTGCAACCGCCTCAGTAACCAACACATTTGCAGTCTAATAGAGGAAAACAAGCCCTGTTATAAGAATAATTATAGTAAAAGGCTATATAAAATACAATCCATTTTGAGACACACCTTCAACTCTATTTGCTAATTCTCATTTTCACTCTTTAGTTTATTTTTAGATTAAATAGTTATTTTCACAAATCAGTCTGAGGACAGAGTTTTTTGTTTTGTTTTGTTTTGTTTTGTTTTGTTTTGTTTTTGTGAGTCATCAGCACTATGCAATTGCATATACCTGTTGTGTTTGGTCTACAAAGGCTGAACATCATGTAATAGTTTTTATGCATTTTGTTCATAGGTTACTGGGTGCTTTAAGGCAAAACTGAATGAGTTTCCAATAGTCAGTACAAAACTACAAGAAATACAGGCACAAAGTGCCTGGGGTTATCCTCAGATGAAGTTAGATTTGAATTGCATTCAATAACCTTTTTTACAATGTGTAGATGCTCAAAGCAAATACAATAGTTTCTCTTTGCCTCTGTGACTTGAGTTCATAGTGTTGTGTTTAAATATAACTTTTGTAATGTCTACTTCACTGAAGAAACTTTTTAAAAATTTGACTTATAATGGTTTTCTGTAATAACCTATGGTGCTTGGTTTGTAAAGTAAAACAGGAACTCAATTTAGTACCTACTGAATAATAACATTTTTTAACTGAGATTCCACTCATAAAGCACCTAAATTTTTAAAGTTAAAACATATTATATTGACATTAAATTTAAAAAGAATAAACAAGTTAGAGAAGAAATAAAAAAAAATATTCAGAGAATAAACTGCTTCCAAGTATACAAGTACTAAAGAGGCTACACACTGGTATGCTCATTATAAATAAAAACATTCATTCATGTAATTTTATCTCATTACTACATATTTAAAATAATCTCTTATCATTATAGTAGGCCATCATTTTCCAAATAGCATCAAGAATCCTTATTTTGAAATAGTAATCAGATCATGTAGTTCTCCTGATCAGATCTCTTCACACTCTAGAATAAGATGCATACCTTCATTTTAGCTTTTAGACTTTTTTCTGATCTAGCTCTAGATTATTGTTTGATCTCATTTTTACTATTCTTCTCATTGCTCATTCAATTCAATTTCAAGCATAATGATTTTTTGCTCTTTTTGGAATACACTAGCTTTTTGATTTCATTAGAGCCTGTACACTTCCCTCTTCCTGAAATGTTCTTCCCCAAATTTATGTATAGCTTATTTTCTCTCTTTGTTCAGGGCTCAGTGTAATTGTAGATTGTTCTCTACCTTGAATATGTCTTACCCCTCATTTGACTGGTTTTCCTTCATACCAATTATTTGTATTCTAAAATATTTTATATTTTTCTGTTGACGTGTTCACTGAGTTCCTTCCTCTAAAATGTAGCTTCATGAGGGCGATATTTTGTTAAAATTGTATGCTACTGTATCACTAGAACTGAGAACAATGCCTGAACAGAGTAGCTACTCATGACTCATTGGCTAAAACAAGTTAATGAATGAGAACAGGCAGGTAGAAAGCCAGGAACGAAAAGAGGATATTATATTAAGTTGAATGAGGGATTAAATGAATATAAATAAGCTGAAAGTAGCATAGGTTATGCAATATGCTTAATAAAGTATGTTTGTCTATTTTCGTTATGTAATCCAAAACCTGACCAACCACAAAACTTGCTTTTTACTCACTTTCTCTTTCTTCCCTGTTTAGTGCAGCATAAAATTAGTTATTGATTTTATCTCTTAACGCTCTGCCTCTATTAGTGAAAGGATCTTCTCTTATCATATTTCCAGTCCAAAGTTCAGTGGAAACTTTTTACACTCTTACAGTCTATTTGAAATCCTTATATCATAAACGTACCAGCACTTATCCCAGCACTATTCACAGTAGCAAAGATACTGAATCAACCTAAGTGTCCACCAATAGATGATTTGATAAAGAAAATGTGAGATGGTACCATCTCACTCCAGTTAGAATGGAGATCACTAAAAAGTCAGAAAACAACAGGTACTGGAGAGAATGTGGAGCAATAGGAATGCTTTTACACTGTTGGTGGGAGTGTAAATTAGTTTAACCATTGTGGAAGACAGTGTGGAAATTTTTCAGGGATCTAGAACTAGAAATACCTTTTGACCCAGCAATCCCATTACTGGGTATATACTCAAAGGATTATAAATCATCCTACTCTGAAGACACATGCACACATATGTTTATTGCAGCACTGTTCACAATAGCAAAGACTTGGAACCAACCCAAATGCCCACCAACGATAGACTGGATAAAGAAAATGTGGCACATATGCATCATGGAATACTATGCAGCCATAAAAAATGATGATTTCATGTCCTTTGCAGGGACATGAATGAAATTGGCAAACATCATTCTCAGCAAGCTAACACAAGAACAGAAAACCAAACACTGCATGCTCTCACTCATAAGTGGGAGCTGAACAATGAGAATACATGGACACAAGGAGGGGAACATCACACTCCACAGCCTGTCAGAGGGTGAGGGGCTAGGGGAGGGATAGCATTTAGAGAAAGACCTAATGTAGATGACAGGTTGATGAGTGCAGCAAACCACTATGGCACGTGTATACCTACATAACAAACCTGCAAGTTCTGCACATGTACCCCAGAACTTAAAGTATAATAAAAAAGATTTCCACCTAAAGATAAGAAAATATGATGATATACACAGTGGAATACAATTCAGCCTTTAAAAATAATATACTCATGAAACATGTATTTTGGAGCAGTTTGGATGGAACTGGAGGACATTATCTTAGATGAAAGTCAGACACAGAAAGACAGATACTGCATGTTCTCATTTATAAATGGGAGGTAATTAATGCATTCACATGGACATAGAGTGTGCAATGATAGAGACTTGGACATGAAGACTTGGAAGAGTTGGGGGAGAGTGAGAGGGGAGTAAATGATAAGAAATTACTTAATGAGTACAAGGTATGCTTTTTAGGTGATGAATATGCTGAACATCCTGACTTCACTATGCAACCTATGGATGTAACAAAATTACAGTTGCACTCCATAAATTTATAGAAATAAAATAAAATAAATTACATTTTAATAGAGACACTATCAGAGAAATACACCAAAAATGACTGGACTGAATTGGAAATGGAAAAGGTAGAAATCTCATTTTCTCTTCAGAGACTATTGCAAATTTGTTTGTATGTAATACACTAATCACATCAGATGCCAGTTTTAAGTACATATTTTCCTCCACTGTGTAGATTTGTTTCAATACGGAAAAATTTCAGAACATACGTAATCAATACAAAGCCATTCTCAGTAATTTATTTTCATTCCATGCCATGTTACTTAGGTTTACATTTACTACCTTAGAAAACATTATGTACAAAAGCTTTTCTTTCTTATAGTGAATTAAATCTCCAACTGCTTTTGTTTCTATTTTAAGAAAGTAAATATTATGACATAAATGTTTGCAATGTTTTTGTTTAAATAAAGTATTTCTAGATTTCTCTTAATTCATAGTTACATTTGTTTCTTTATTGATGTTCAAACACAGACTTTTAAAAATTCATATTTTTTTCAAAATGTGTGACTATTTACTTTCTAGTTCAATTTAAAAAGCATTTACCATAAAAATGGCAGTATCTTTTTGTACAGATGCTACCTCTGAATCAAAGCCTCTCAGCAACTGGCAAACAGGAAGCTCTAATGCACTTTAACCCTAATAGTTATAAAATATGCAATCATCTGAAATCACATACTGATTTCCACTTCTTTTCTAACTACGGTTATATGTAAATATTTCACTTTCAATAATAGATCTTTGCCTGTTTATTTGGTTTTTTTTTCCTTGGCTTAGAAATAGTTTTTATGAAATATTCAAATACAAACATAGTCTCTAAAAGCAAAGTATGGTTCTTTGACAGCCAAAACACTTTCCCCTAAGCATTTCATTAGTTATATAAGTGATAAATGTTTTTCTGAATGGGAATTTACCTAAAGTGTTTCAAAATTAGGTGACCATTTGTGCTTTCCAAACCATACAGAACTTTATATTTATTCCTGGGTAAATCACCCATTTCCTTGTTCATCAAGATCAGGTGAAATGATATCCATGTGAGATAATTAATTCCTCTGCTATCTATTTTATTATACTTAGTTATTCATCTAAAATAAATATCTACTATAACAAGTAAAATATATAATAGTGTAGAAGACAACAAGAGTATGTGTTTGCAGTATGTGTAATAGAGTTAAATATATCTAAATATAGCATATCTGTACTAAGGCAATGAACATCAATTTTAGCTAATCACCCTCATTAAAGCAAAGGGCACTACCATATGTGACATAGTTGTCATTGACAGTCTGATAAATCTTGTAGCTGAGGTAACGGACAGGGAAGAGTTTGTGATAGTGAAATTTGTAGAACTAAGATCAAATTACCAAATACATAGGCATTATTAAACAAATTCTCACCAATTACTTCAAAAATATTGTAACTTCTATTTAATATTTCCTGTTTTTAATCTTAAAAACTCTAAATTGAGTAGAATTTGAAATAGCAGTAAATTTCAGGTTAATGGAAATACAATCACACTTGTTATTATTGTTCAATTTTTTTTATTAAGTCTGAAGAAATATTTACTTGAATATGACATCTAAGAATGATGGACAAAAGCTTTTTAAATTTTCTTTCCACTCCTTTTTCTGAAAGCTTTGATACAAAAATCATTTGACACAAATGATTTTTTTTTTTGTGACAGGATCTTACTATGTTGCCCAGGCTGAAGTGCAGTGTGCTCATGCAATCCTCCCATCTCAGCCTCCTGAGTAACTGGGACTACAGGCACATGCCGCCATGCCCAGCTAATTTTTGTATCTTTAGTAGAAACAAGGTTTTGCCACATTGCCCAGGCTGGTCTCCAACTCGTGGGCTGAAGTGATCTGCCCACCTTGGCCTCCCAGTGTTCTGGGATTACAGGAGTGAGCCACTGTACCCGGCTGATGCAAATGATTTCTATTATTAATATCTTGCAGTTATTCTTCCATTGGATAACCATCAATGTCAAAATAAAGATTATTAGTTACTGAAGGACTGAAAAATCAAAAATCAACTTCATGAGATGCTTTACAAACTAGTGTTCTCTTTTAATATTTGACTCAGTAAAAGTTTTTAAGAAAAGTTAAGTTTGTGTTTTTATTTGTGCATACTCTCTAGTGCTTAAATGTATCAGGATAGAACTTTTCTAAACTAGGTCAGTCTTTTTTCCATATCTATGGTTGAATACTTCAGTTAAATAAAGCAATGGTAGATAGCAAACTATGTTATAATTGGCATTTTGGGCACTGGTTGCAATTAATTGCCAAAAAAAGTATATCTCACCACAATTGATCTCTCATTTTTCCACTCTCATTTATTTCCCTTCACTTTCTTCTTGGCTTCTGCAAAAGCATTTGTTTTTCCTTTTTCTTTCTTCTTTTTTTTTTTTTTTTTTTTTTTTGAGACGGAGTCTCACTCTGTCGCCCAGGCTGGAGTGCAGTGGCGCTATCCCGGCTCACTGCAAGCTCCGCCTCTTGGGTTCATGCCATTCTCCTGCCTCAGCCTCCCGAGTAGCTGGGACTACAGGCGCCCACCACCACGCCCGGCTAATTTTTTGTATTTTTAGTAGAGACGGGGTTTCACCGTGTTAGCCAGGATGGTCTCGATCTCCTGACCTCGTGATCCGCCCGCCTCGGCCTCCCAAAGTGCTGGGATTACAGGCGTGAGCCACCGCGCCCGGCCTTCTTTCTTCTTTAAAAAAATATATTTGAAGAGATTTATTCTAAGCCAAATATGAGTAACCACGGCCAGTGACACAGCACTCAGGAGGTCCTGAGAACATGTGCCCAAGGTGGTTGGGATGCAGCTTGCTTTTATACATTTTAGAGAGGCATGAGACATCAATTAACTACACTTAAGAAATACATCAGTTTGATCCAGAAAGGTGGGACAACTCAAAGCAGAGGGAGTGGGGGTGGGAGGGGTTGGGGCTGGCAGGCGGGTTGGGGGATGGGAGGGTATTGGGGTTTGGGGGTTGGTTCCAGGCTATAGGTGAATTTAAACATTTTCTGGTTGATAATTGGTTGAGTTTGATTCAAGACCTGGGATTGATAGAAAGGGAATGTTCAGGTTAAGATAAAAGACTGTGGAGACCAAGGTTCTTTTGAAGTCTTACAGTGGCTGCCCTTAGAGACAATAAATGACAAGTGTTTCCTATTCAGATCTTTAAAAGGTACTAGACTTTTAGTTAATCTCTTTAGAACTGCGAGGGCCATTTTTTCATATTATAATTTATCTCCTTTATGTCTGTAACAAAGATAGGAATCGCTATAAAGTGTCTTCCCAGTTTCTGCCTAACCACATCCCTGGATTTCCTGGCCCCTGGCTTGGCATATGTTTGGGGTTAGCCTTCTCCCATTGCTAATTTGTATGCCATAAGATGGTTGTTTTGTTCCTCAGTACATTTATGTCAGATATAATTGTTACTGTAGTAAACAACTATTGTGTAAAACAATGATAAGTGAGTGTGAAAGTAAAAAAACAAATCAGAAAATGAAGCAGAATGTAAATAATTGATAAAGACAAGTTCTGAAAAAATATCAAATTGGATTTAGGAGTCAGACACCTGTAAGAGGTTTATTTGAGGGGCTAAGCGTGCTGGTATTTACACACATATTACTTCTTGTGTCTCTTCAATTTATTGGTTCATTTCAAAAAACCAAAGCTAAAAATCATAAAATATTCATTATGTAAAAAGAAACAAAGTTCAATGAATCCATACATACATACTGAAGACCTTTGTCGGATAGTTGACAAGTATATTTGCATATATGTTTTCCAAGGTAAAAGAAAATTTGTGGCTGGGCACGGCAACTCATGCCTGCAATCCCAGCATTTCGGGAGGCCAAGGCCGGTGGATCAGCTGAAGTCAGGCATCCAAGACCAGCCTGGCCAACACGGTGAAACCCCATCTCTACTAAAAATACAAAAAAATAGCTGGGCATGGTGGCTGGCACCTGTAATCCCAGCTACTTGGGAGGCCGAGGCAGGAGAATTGCTTGAACCCGGAAGGCAGAGTTTGCAGTAAGCTGAGATCAAGCCACTGCACTACAGCCTGGGCAACAAGAGTGAAACTCTGTCTCAAAAAAAAAAAAAAAAAAAAAAGAAAGAAAAAGAAAAAAGAAAATTTGTAGGATATGGATAAGTAATTTATTTCAGAAGAATTTTTTTTTGTAGAATGATTTGTGCTAAAGCAATACATCTCTTTCTATCATATACTGATATCTTGAAAACTTTTATAACGTTTCTTGTCACATTCAGTATTTTAAAAATAGGATTGATTCTAAGTTTTGAGTTTATGGTGCATTTGAATATTAGAGATATTATCTCTTATACATTTCAAAGCTTTGCTGCATTCTAAACTCAGTCCTGCCTTAGCCTTAGTAATGGCAATGAAGTGCGGGGATAGAATGTTCACTATTTTTTTATGTGCTGTTAAAATTTCATACCTCCTGTTCTATCTTGAAGTCTTATAGTTTTGGAATGGTGAGTGGGGGAAACAAGCATAAAACTATTACATAATTCATGCAGTTTTCACTGGGCAACAGTCTCTATCCTCTGAATGGTGAAATGGCTACTTTTCATTTATTTATTTTTTTCTTTCCTGGGGTAAAACGCTTGAAAACTGCACCACTGGGAAATTGCAGCTATAGTCCATGTTTCAACATAGTCCATGCTTCTTTGAGTTGGCCACTTACTGTTTACTCTCATCTCCTTAGGTTTAGCAGTAAAGACCTGTAAGATTTCTTCTGTTAGGATCATCTAGCCATTCCAAACATTTCTCTTAGATTTGATTCTTTCAAGACAAATCAACCCAATAAAAATCTCATAAATAAAGGTGAGCTAGCTACCACATTTGGTGTTCTCATCTGACCAAACCAAATTTTATGTATACATTCAATTCTCAATCCAACCCAGCCTGTTTGCCTAAGCCATTCCAGACAAACTTCCACTTCGAAGGTTTTAAATGCATAAGTCAGATAGCAATCCTTCAGTTGCTCCAGAGGCACATCACGTTCTTTGAATGCTTCAGTATAGTCCTCTTCATTCAGCAATCAGTGAGGCAATACACTGGCATCATGATCCCTATTTTTAGGAACTCTGTACGAAATTCCCTTTGAAAATATAAATTTTGGAAATGAGTGATGAGCAAAGGGGTTTCATTAACATTATCACAATCTCTTGATATATCTGCTTGATAATGTAGCACCTATTATTTGGGGCCATTAGGACCTTGGCAGAAATTCTGGTAAATGTAAAGAAACCACATTTAACATCCAGTTAATTTAATTTTTGTTTGTTTGTTTGTTTTGTTTTTGTTTTTGAGACGTTGTCTTACTCTGTCACCCAGGCTAGAGTGCGGTGGTGTGATCTCGACTCACTGCAACCTCCACCTCCACCTTCTGGGATCAAGCAATTATCTTCCTCAGCCTGGGATTACAGGAACCCACCACCATGCCCACCTAGTTTTGTATTTTTAGTAAAGACGGGGTTTCACCATCTTGGTCAGGCTAGTCTTGAATGCCTGACCTCGTGATCCACCTGCCTCGACCTCCCAAAGTGCTGGAACTACAGGCATGAGCCACCTTGCCTGGCCTCAATATTGTTTTTAATAATTTCTGCTTTACTTGCAGTTAATCATATCAGGCCGTCTACCATACCCAGTTGTGTCAGCAAGAAGATCTGTACAATGATAAGTAACACATGGCTCCCAGGGCTAACATATTCCTAACACTTATATAAACACTTTTTCAGAAATTTGACAATATTTTATAATTAAACAATATCTTATTTTACAAGAAAAGATATGGTATCACAATACTCTGAGAAAAGAGTTAATTTGCTTCTCAAATTTCCTAGATAATGAAGTAGTCCTAAAATATTTAACTCAGTATTGGTAATAGTTTCAATTTGAGGAAGTGTTCTGAATAGCCTTTTTAATGCTGATGTCATAAGATTGTGTTACAAACACAGACTTTCATTTAAAGACACTTTATTTTTAATTTTGTTCTAAAAAATAAAATTATATATGAATACACATGTATCCTAAACTATGTATGTATAATATACATATATGTATATACATACACACACACAGAGAGAGAGAGAGAGAGAAGGAGAGAGAAACAGAGACAAAGAGAGCCATAAATCCTGAATTTGTTGTTGTCAATGGTGTTTGATAGCATCACTTTGTAACTCAATAGGATGTATCTGCACAAAGCTAAAATTAATTTATTTTTGCCATACAAGGCAAGTGTATCTTGTTGACGTCTATAGAGAAAATAAATCACCCTCTAAAGAACTGTTTATAAATAAATAATTGATATCTGAAAATTCAGAAAAAGTACCACTATCATTTTACTTACCATATTGCATTGAAATTATATGTTTATGCTTCTCTTGCTTCTACCTCTCTGTGAATTCAAGGTTAGAAAAGGAGAAATTTTTATCTTAGCATTCCCAGGACCAATCACAATGTCTAATACTTAGAGCGTGCAATGTTGGTTGAACTGAAATAAATCTGATATAAAAACAAATAATGCTTTAGGGAAGTGATTTTTCATTTGAGATTATTTTCTCAGAAAAATTAATATGACCAGGTTGTCATCCTATGCAAACATTAGTATGCCTTATTGATTTTTCACTAAGTTATATAGCTTATATTATAAGACTTTTTTATGGGTGTCTCTACCTACAGATTCCAGGCACTAACAAACCTATAGAAATTCATAAATTTAATGCATTTTATCAAGTTGATTAATATAGCATGAACATTTTTCAACTGGCTTCACAAATCATTTATTGTTAAATGTTATTCTTATACCTGTATTAGAGAGAAAAAAGCCAGAGGTGGCAAGGTGATATACAGATCAACTGGAAATCCACAAGTTTTGGTTTGGAACTCTTTGGAAAATTGAATAAAGAGTCACACTTTGCTCAAACCTGAATTAGTAAAAGTGATGTACATATCAATAAACAAACTTCTCTAAAAAAAAAAAGCATTAAAAATATAGTCAGCATATATTTTTCTGGAATATAAAATTGAGGAACTAGAATAATTCAACTTGAATAAGTGTAACTAATTCATTTTCTGCAAAATATTACCCAGGGTTTGAGTATTTTTCTATTTATTCTATCGGAAAAAAATGATATACCACTGTACTGGAAATATTCAGAAAAGTTTGTCTATTTTTTAAAATTGTACTTATTATACCTTTATAACCGTGAGATAATATATTTATTATTTGAATGAGAATTAAATGTTTATGATTTATACAAAAATGCCTGACACAGACTACTATGCCCACAAAAGTTGAATGGTTGTTTTTAGCTTATATATACCTATACAGGTTAATAGATATATCTTTACTTCTTTTTTCTTTTTTTTTTGAGATGGAGTCTCACTCTGCAGCCCAGGTTGGAGTGCAGTGACATGATCTCGGCTCACTGCAAGCTCTGCCTCCCAAGTTCACGCTGTCCTCCTACCTCAGCCTCCTGAATAGCTGGGACTACAGGTGCCCGCCACCATGCCCGTCTTATTTTTTGTATTTTTAGTAGCGATAGGGTTTCACCGTGTTAGCCAGGATGGTCTCAATCTCTTGACATTGTGATCCGCCTGCCTCAGCCTCCCAAAGTGCTGGGATTATAGGCATGAGCCACCGCACCCGGCCAATATATCTTTACTTCTTATAAGAAATGAGTAACTTTATTAATTCTACCAACAGATAACATTCTTCCTCTCAGAGAGTAATATGCAATCATTTCCTAACCTTATTTTATTGCGCTATATTTTAAATATAATAAACGTGTCAAAAATGTGGTTTCGTACTTTTTATAAATTGATATATTTACCTAATTACACTAAATCTAGAAAATACTATTGTGCTTATTCAAACTTCTCTTCTTCAGAGGCAAACCTGTATAATTTCTTTGGTTTGTTTGTTTGTTTTAAGACGTAGTCTTACTCTGTTACCCAGGCTAGAGTGCAGTGGTGTAGGGGTGGGTTGCCCCTACACACCTGTGGGTGTTTCTCGTAAGGTGGGACGAGAGATTTGGAAAAGAAAAAGACACAGAGACAAAGTATAGAGAAAGAAATAAGGGGACCCGGGGAACCAGCATTCAGCATATGGAGGATCCCGCCAGCCTCTGAGTTCCCTTAGTATTTATTGATCATCTGTGGGTGTTTCTCGAAGAGGGGGATGTGTCAGGGTCACAAGACAATTTTGGGGAGAGGGTCAGCAGACAAACACGTGAACAAAGGTCTTTGCATCATAGACAATGTAAAGGATTAAGTGCTGTGCTTTTAGATATGCATACACATAAACATCTCAATGCTTTACAAAGCAGTATTGCTGCCCGCAGGTCCCACCTCCAGCCCTAAGGCGGTTTTTCCCTATCTCAGTAGATGGAGCATACAATCGGGTTTTATACCGAGACATTCCATTGCCCAAGGACAGGCAGGAGACAGATGCCTTCCTCTTGTCTCAACTGCAAGAGGCATTCCTTCCTCTTTTACTAATCCTCCTCAGCACAGACCCTTTATGGGTGTCGGGCTGGGGGACGGTCAGGTCTTTCCCTTCCCACGAGGCCATATTTCAGACTATCACATGGGGAGAAACCTTGGACAATACCTTGCTTTCCTAGGCAGAGGTCCCTGCGGCCTTCCGCAGTTTTTGTGTCCCTGGGTACTTGAGATTAGGGAGTGGTGATGACTCTTAAGGAGCATGCTGCCTTCAAGCATCTATTTAACAAAGCACATCTTGCACCGCCCTTAATCCATTTAACTCTGAGTTGACACAGCACATGTTTCAGAGAGCACGGGGTTGGGGGTAAGGTCACAGAATCTCAAGGCAGAAGAATTTTTCTTAGTACATAACAAAATGGAGTCTCCTATGTCTACTTCTTTCTACACAGACACAGTAACAATCTGATCTCTCTTGCTTTTCCCCACACAGTGGTACAATGTGAGGTCACTGCAACCTCCGCCTCCCGGGTTCAAGCGATTCTCCGGCTTCAGCATCCCAAATAACTCGGATTAAACCCTTATAATTTCTATCATGATTGATTAATTTTGTTCATCTTCAAATTCCAATAATTAGAATTCCTACAGGATGTGTGTGTGAGTGTGTATCTGGTTTATTTTCTTTAGCATAAATACATATTTGAGATTTAGCCAAATATTTGTGTGTATCGTTTGTTTATTTTTCCTCACATTTCTGAGTTGCCTATGTATTTGTCAGAGTTTGCTTATTCATTAGTCTGTTAGTGAATATTCAGATTGCTTCCAGAATTAGCTTTTACAAATAAAGGACTTAGGTGCATTCTCAAACAGGTTTTTGTGTAAATATATGCTTTTATTTTTGTTGGATAAATTTCTAGAATTGAAATTGCTGTGCTATAGGGTAGATGTATGTTGACCTTATTGAGAAGCGAATTATTTTTCAAAGCGGTTGTTCTGCTTTTTTTTTTTTTTTGAGACACAGTCTCGCGCTGTCGTCTGGGCTGGAGTGCACTGGCGTGATCTGGGCTCACCGCAAGCTCCACTTCTCAGGTTCATGCCACTCTCCTGCCTCAGCTTCCTGATTAGTTGGGACTACAGGCGCCCGCCACCACACCCGGCTAATTTTTTTTTTTTTTTTTGTATTTTTAGTAGAGACGGGGTTTCACCATGTTAGCCAGGATAGTCTCGATCTCATGACCCCGTGATCCGCCCGCCTCGGCCCCCTAAAGTGCTGGGATTACAGGCATGAGCCACCACGCCCAGCCAGTTGTTCTATTTTACACTCTCACAAGAAATAGACACGACTTCTAGTTTCCCCACATATTTGCCAATATTAGTATTATCATTTTAAATGGTAGTCTTTCCAGTTTCGATGCATTTTGGTTGTGTTTCCCCTTATCTAATAATATTGAGCATCTTTTCACATTCCTATAAGCCACTTGTATCTCTTGTTTTGTGAAATACCTGTTCAAGATTCTTATAACTATTTAGTGGATCTCAGGAGTACTCTGTGCGTTTTGAACACGCAATTTTTTTCTCATACATATATGGAATAATTTATCACAGTCTATGGCTTAAAATTATATTTTCTTACATTTTGCAGTTTTATTAGGATACATTTTTAATTAATATCTACAATTTATCAATTTTTACTCTTATGATAGTGCTTTCTCTGTTCAGAAATATTTTTCCTATTATAATAGCTCGCAGATATTGTTTAATTTTTTTCTTTTAAAAGCTTTCTGAATTTTGCTTTTTCATTTTTATGCCTACGTTAAAAATATTGGACTAGTTTTGTGTATACAAAGGACTGATGCATGTATTTTTTAAATATGAGAATGCATTTATTTCAAAAGCCTGTGTTAAAGACTTACTTTCCCCACTGAATTATCTACATGCCCTTATAAACATTTAATTTACTGCATAGGTGGAGGTCTAATTTTGAACCCTTCTTTATCCTTATTATTTTTGTGTTATGATGCTTTGATACTGCAGCTTTCTTAGATGTCTGAAAATTGGCTCTATTTTTTTCTCAAAATTCTAGGTCCTATGAATTTTGAACCCTTCTTTATCCTTATTATTTTTGTGTTATGATGCTTTGATACTGCAGCTTTCTTAGATGTCTGAAAATTGGCTCTATTTTTTTCTCAAAATTCTAGGTCCTATGAATTTTCCAAACAAATTTTGGAAACAGCTTGTGAATTTCTCTCAAAATGTTTGCCACAATTTACTACAGAGTTGCAGTAAATAGATATAGAATTCATTGTAGTCAATAAATTACAAACTATAGACTATAGATTGCATTGATGCTTTTTTTTTTTTTTTTTTTGAGACAGAATCTCACCTTGTCACTCAGGTTGGAGTGCAGTGGCACAATCTCGGCTCACTGCAACCTCAGCCTCCCAGATTCAAGCAATTATCCTGCCTCAGCCTCCTGAGTAGCTGGGACTACAGGCCCGTGCCACCATGCCTGGCTAATTTTTTTGTATTTTTTTTTTTTTAGTAGAGACAGGGTTTTATCGTGTTAGCCAGTATAGACTTGATCTCCTGACCTTGTGATCCACCCACCTTGGCCTCCCAAAGTGCTGGGATTACAGGCGTGAGCAACTGCGCCCAGCCCCTACTGCATTGATTCTAAAGATTAACTTCCAGAGAATTCACATCAAACAATGTTGCATCTTCAAATCTATGAACATGGTGGATCTTTACATTTATTTAGGTCTTCTGTAATGTTTCTCTACAAGAAATTTTAAAAAGTTTTAGTGTGAAAGATTTTTAAAGGTTTCACTTAAATTATTCTTAACTATTTTTATACCATTAAAATTTTACTTTTAAATGTATTCTCAATTGTTTATTTCTAGTATTTAGAAATTCCATTAATTTTCCATATTGTATTTTGTGTATTGACCTTGCATTCTACACATTCTGCACCATTATTGAATTTGATTCTTATTATTCACAGCTTTTTAAATAAATATATTAGGATTTTCTTCATATGCAATATACATATATATGTTCTGTGAATAAAAATATTTTTTCTTTTCACTTTTCAATTTTTATGCTTTTCATTTCTTGACCCCATGCAAGTCCGAAATCCAGAGGGGCAGCCAAATCTTAAAGCTCCAAAACGATCTCCTTTGACTCCATGTCTCACATCCTGATCATGCAGATGCAAGAGGTGGGTTCCCATGGTATTGGGCAGCTCTGCCCCTGTGGCTTTGAGGGATATAGCCTGCCTTCTGGCTGCTTTTGTGGGCTGGTGTTGAGTGTCTGTGGCTTTCCCAGGCACATGGTGTTGTTGGTGGATCTAACATTCTGAGGTCTGGAGGATGGTGGCCCTCTTCCCACAGGTCCACCAGGCGGTGCCCCAGTAGGGACTCTGTGTGGGGGCTCCCACCCAACATTTCCCTTCCTCACTGCCCTAGCAGAGGTTGTCAATGAGGGCCCCATCCCTGCAGCAAACTTTTGCATGGGCATCCAGGTGTTTCCATATATCTTCTGAAATCTAAGCAGATGTTCCCAAACCTCAATTCTTGATTTCTGTGCATCCACAGGCTCAACACCACGTGGAAGCTGCCAAGGCTTGGGGCTTCCACCCTATGAAGCAACAGCTCAAGCTGTACTTTGGTCCCTTTTAGTCACAGCTGGAGTGGCTGGGATGCAGGGCACCAACACCCTACACTGCACACAGCATGGGGACCCTGGGCCCAGCAAAACCATTTTATTCTAGGCCTCTGAGGCTGTGATGGGAAGGGCTGCTGTGAAGACTTCTGACATGCCCAGGAGACATTTTCACCATTGTCTTGGGGATTGACATTCAGTTCCTCGTTACTTATGCAAATTTCTGCAGCCAGCTTAAATTTCTCCTCAGAAAACGGGTTTTTCTCTTCTATTACATTGTCAGGCTGCAAATTTTCTGAACTCTTATGCTCTGCTTGCCTTATAAACTGAATGCCTTTAAAAGCAGCCAAGTCACTTCTTCAATGCTTTGCTGTTTAGAAATTTCTTCTGTCAGATACCCTAATTCATCTGTCAAGTTCTAAGTTTCACTAATCTTTAGGGCATGGGCAAAATGCTGCCAGTCTCTTTGCTAAAACATAACAAGAGTCAACTTTGCTCTAGTTTCTAACAAGTTCCTCAACTCCATCTGAGACCACATCAGCCTGGATCTCATTGTTCACATCATTATCAGCGTTTTGGTCAAAGCCATTCAAAACGTCTCTAGGAAGTTCCAAACTTTCCTGCATTTTCCTGTCTTCTGCTGAGCCCTTCAAACTGTTCCAACCCCTGCCTGTTACGCAGTTCCAAAATTGCTTCCGCATTTTCAGGTATCTTTTCAGCAGCATCCCACTCTACTGATACCAGTTTACTGTATTAGTCTGTTTTAAAGCTGCTGATAAAGACATACCCAAGACTGGACAATTGACAAAAGAAAAAAGGTTTAATTGGACTTACAGTTTCATGTAGCTGGGGAAGCCTCACAATCATGGTGGAAGGCAAAGAGGAGCAAGTCATGTCTTACATGGATGGCAGCAGGCAAAGAGAGCTTGTGCAGGAAAACTCCCCCTTATAATAACCATCAGACCTCATGAGACTTACTCACTATCAGGAAAACAGCACAGGAAAAGCCTACCTCCATGATTCAATTACCTCCCACCAGGTTCCTCCCACAACATATGGGAATTCAAGATGAGATTTGGGTGGGGACACAGCCAAACCACATCAATGAAGCTCTCTGTTGTATATGTTAATGCTGATAATGTTTTTTTGTTTTGTTTTTGAGATAGAGAAGGAGATCTTAGAGATGAAAAAGGGGAAGCTCCATTAAAATTGGTAAAGGAAGAAACATAATATGAAAGGAGGGAAATAATGAGGTAAAAGATGCAGAGACTGCTTTCCAGACAAAGTAAGAATGAACTTCACTTTGGAATAACAAAGCAGTGCTTGCTTGGCAAGGTGAGTCTTAGAATCTGACTAACATCAACAGGGCAGAGTCTCAGGTAATTAACAAAACCAGGAAGGAACAGGGAGCAGCAATGCTAAAACACAAGAAACCAGGTTACTTTGTCCTACTTCATAGTTGTTATTTTCCTAATCATTGGAGATAAGCTATGATTAACAGAAAAACTACCCATGTAAAATATTGTCACCCAACTTTTAAGAAAAACAAGAAAGAAGATACAAAACTTAGCAAACAGAATAAGTAATTTCAGAGAATCAGAATTAAGACAAGAAACAAATGTAATTACAGTAAGTGTAATTCATATCTTCAGAGACATGCAAGAGGAGGTTGCATTTTAGAAAATACTGATAATAGCTCTTGGATTAAAAACTCAACAGATGTTCTGAAGAGAACAATAGACATAGTTAAATATAGATCTAGCAAGTTTGAAGTTTAAAAGTTGAATAATTTTCTCTGAATCCAATGGCTAGGAAAAAATGAAGAAAGGTAAAGGGAGGTAAAGTGAAGATAAAGAATTGTTGACGTAAAGTTGTTTAAAATGCTAGAAAAAAAGGAAAGTAAACATAAAGATGGACATAATTAAAGAACTAATTTAAATATTTTTTAGAACTAGAAATACTGTAGACTTGAGATTTAAAGTTTTCATAGAAGTATGAACTTATATTAATGGAGAAATTCTACTGATAGACATCTCTTGAAGAAGCAATGGGATACTAATGATTAGGACAGAATCATAAAGACTTCCAGAGTAGGAGGATAGAAAGGTAATTTTCAATGGAATAAGAAGTAGATAGCAAAGAAAATTTATTCTTAAACATGTAGATGTTGGTAATAACTGGGACAAGACCATCAATGTCTGAAGAAATAAATGTTTTTACAAATAGTGTCCTATAAGTACCTAAATACACATTTAATTTTGTGGACAAAGCAAAGACAATTGTGCATATCTCCCAATTCCCAAGCATTTAGAAATCCAAAAATAAAATAATAAAATTAACAAACAGATTTTTGGAATTATATCTGGCAGGAGTTTGGATCAGTCATAGAGCGCAATAGCATACTTGAAAATAAGGACAATATGGCCATTTTAATGATATTGATTCTTCCTATCCATGAGCATAGAATGTTTTTTCATTTGTTTCATCCTCTCTGATATCTTTGGTGTTTTTAGTTCTTATAGAGACCTTTCACCTCACTAGTTAGCTGTATTCCTAGGTATTTGATTCTTTTTGCAGCAATTGTGAATCAGATTGCATTCCTGATTTGGTTCTCCGCTTGACTCTTGTTGGTGTATGGGAATGCGAGTAATTTTTGTATGTTCTTTTTGTATCCTGAGACTCTGCCAAAGGTGTTTTTCATCTTAAGGAGCTTTCGGGCCTTAAGCTTTTGGGCCTATAAAGTTTTCTACATATAGGATCATGTAATCTACAGACAGGGATAGTTTGACGTCCTTTCTTCCTATTTGGGTACCCTTTATTTCTTTCTCTTGCCTAACTGTTTTGGCAAGGACTTCCAATACTATGTTGAACAGGAGTGGTGAGAGAGGGCATCCTTGTCTTGTGTACAAAATACACTAAAATAAAATTGCTTAAAACCAGTGATAAAGAAAAATTCTCAAAGCAGCCAATGACAAAAACACGGTTTGCACAGAGGAACAAAAAATGCCAGCAAACATTTTATTGGAAACAAAGAAAATTAGAAGATAATGAAGCAACATCTTTAAAGTACTGGAAGATAAACATTGTCAGCTGGGCATTGTAGACTCAGAGAAACTATCTTTCAAGATGTAGGTGAAATAAAGATTTTGTTCAGGCACTTAGAACCTGAAAGAAATCAACACCAGTAAAACAACACTATAAAAAATGTTAAAGAAAGTGTTTCAGGCAGAAGTAAAATAATATCAAAAGGAAATTTGGATCTACACAGAAGAATGAAAAGCACTGGAAATGGTATCAACATGGTTAAATATATAAGATCCTTTTATTTCTGTTTGAATTCAATTGATTGTTTAAACAAGGGGTCAGCAAGCTATAGCTTCATGGGTGGACTGCCTGTTTATGTGAACAAATTTTTACTGAGACACATTCATGCTCATTTGTTTATGTATTATCAATGGGTGCTATAGAATTACAAAAGCAGAATTAAGTAGTTGTAACAGAGCCTAATGGCACACAAGCCTAAAATATTTAGCTTTTAAGGAAAGCATGTCCGGTTCTGGTGGCTCATGCCTGTAATCCCAGCATTTTGGGAGGCCGAGATGGGCGGATCACGAGGTCAGGAAATTGAGACCATCCTGCGCAACATGATGAAACCCCGTATCTACTAAAAATACAAACATTAGCTGGGTGTGGTGGCATGTGCCTCTAATCCCAGCTACTCGGGAGGCTGAGGCAGGACAATCGCTTGAACCCTGGAGGCAGAGGTTGCAGTGAGCTGAGATGGCACTACTGCACTGCAGCCTGGTACAAAGCTAGACTCTGTCTCAAAAAAAAAAAAAAAAAGAGAGAGAAGAAAACAACATTATTAACCTCTAATTTAAACAAGAATAATAACAATTTATAATGAGTTTACAACATATATAAAAATAAATTACATGACAATAACAGAACAACAGTTAGGACAAAATAATGAAAATGTTGTTACTTCATGATACTGTATGTAAAGTAGTATATTATAATTTGAAGGTAGAATGTGATGAGTTAAACATGTATACTACAAACTCAAAAGCAACCATTAAAATTAACAATATAGAGAGTTTTAATTCTCAAGTAAAAAAGGAGATAAGATGAAACCATAAAATATATTTAATTCATAGAAAAGAAGGCAAACAAGAGGGAAAATAAGCAAAAAACAGATGGGATGGTAGGGGAAGCAAAATTTTATTACCATCTTCTTAGTTTTTTTTTTTTCCTCTGCTAAGCCTGAGAATTAAATTGATATAAGACAGATCAACAGGAAAATGCATACAAATTTATTTAATACATGTATCATGTGGCATGAGAGATTCTTTAAGGAAGGAAGACTCCATGACATAATCACTTATGTTCTGAAGTAGACACAGAGTAGTAAATTGTGAAATATGACAAGACAAAGGAGCTGGAACTAGTGTAGTTAATTGGGTGAAGAGGTGATTAACAGGATAAGGGTTGGTTTAACAAGGTCTGTTTGTACAGGTTTCCCTTGCCTCAACTTCTCATCCTGGGTGATGAGACTGTTACTTTCCTTCTTGTATAAAGAGGGCAACTTTCATGTAGAAATTTTACCTCCTACTTTTAAGAAAAAGGAAAATCAGAGTGCTTTAAAGGAAAATCAGAGTGTTTTTCTTGCATCTGCTATTTTTCAAGTGTCTTTAACTCAAAAAAATCAATATGCCAAAGTGGCATGTTTGGGGGTATCTGGTTCTGAATTCCTTCAGGAAAGATAGAAAGCAAAAGCAAAATAATAGGTTTAAAACTAAAAATATCCAGGTGCGGTGGCTCACGCCTATAATCCCATCACTTTGGGAGGCTGAGGTGGGCAGATCATGAGGTCAGGAGTTCGAGACCAGCCTGGCCAACATAGTGAAACCCTGTCTCTACTAAAAATACAAAAAATTAGCCAGGCATGGTGGCGGGCACCTGTAATGCCAGCTACTCAGAAGGCTGAGGCAGGAGAATGGCTTGAACCCAGGAGGCAGAGGTTGCAGTGAGCCAAGATCATCGCATTGCACTCCAGCCTGGGCAACAGAGCCAGACTCTGTCTCAAAAAAAAAAAAAAAAAGAAAAAAAAATACATATATATGCACACATAACCACATTACATATAAATGGTCTAAATATACCAATTTAAAAGCAGATTGGATCAATAAAACAAGATCTAAGTTATTACTGTCTAGAAGAAATTTAAGAATATCCTAATAAAACATATCTATGTAAAAACAATAGCTGGCATCATACTTAATGAAGAAAAATCAGTTTATTTCCCCCTATTTCAGGAACAAGATGAGTCCATTAACTCTTAGCACTTTGTTTTAACATTCCACTAGACGTTCTACCAAGTAAAATAGACAAAAAACATAAACAAAAGAATTACAGACGGGAAAGGAAAATGTAGATTGGTTTTATTTATAGACGGCATGTCTATGTAGAAAGTCCACTGAAATCTACAAAAACACTGCTGGCTATAATAAGTGAGTTAGCAACATAAAAAAGAAAAAAAGCAACATATTAAACTAATATTTCCATATACCAGCAATGAACAATAAAAAATTAAAATAAAAGTACTATTAATAATATCATGAAAAATGTAGAAGAATTAGGAATTAATCTACCAAATGATGTGAGAGTCTGGTACACTAAAACTCAAAACACTGCAGAAAGTTAAAGAAGACTTAAATAAATGGAAAGATGTAATATGAATATGGGTTAGAAAATTCACACGGTAAAATGTGATTATCCCTAAATATAGATTCAATACAATCCCAATTAAAATATTATTAGGCATTGTTTTATAGGAATTTACACACTAATTTTAAACCTTCAGTAGAAATGCAAAGAGTCTAAAATAGCCAAAATAATTCTTAAAAATAAGAATATATTTGAAGGATTAGCACAATCTAATACCAAAGCTTATGAGGCTACAGTAATGAAAATAGTGTGATACTGGCATAAAGATAGACAGAAATGTCATTGGAAGATAACAGAAAATTCAGAAATATATGTACAGAATTTTGGTAAATTGGTGTTCTCCAAAGATACAAAGGTAATTCAGTAAATAAAAGATAGCCCTTCAACAAATTCTGCTGGAACAATTAGATACTCATATGCAAAAAGTAGAACCTTAACACGTAACTCATGATACAAAAATTAATTTAGTACAGATCATATGCCTAAATGTAAAATGTAAAAACAAAGTGAAAAAAAAAGGAAGAAAAATTATGTATAGGAGAAAATATAGAAAAGCATTTTACCTCAGGCTAGTAAATACTACTTAGACATGACACAAACACCATGTTTCATCAAACTAGGAATTGACAACTCGAGTTCATCAAAATGTAAAACATATGTTCCTCAGGAAACACTGTAAAACAAATAGAAATATAAGACACTACTGAGAACAATATTTGCAAAATATATGTCTGGCAAAAAAGTTGTGTCCAGAAAACGTAAGAACTCTCAAAACTTGATAATAAATCTAGCAACTCTAATAAAAGTAGGCAAATGACTTAAATGAATACTTCTTCTCTAAAGAACATATGTAGATAGAAAGTAAACACATGGAAAGATCCTCAATATCATTAGTCATTAGGGAATTAATTTGTGTCTGTCAAAAATGAGTTGGGTACAGTTGCTCAAGCCTGTAATCCCAGCACTTTGGAAGGTCAAGGCAGCAGGGTTTCTTGACCCCAGGAGTTAGAGAGCAGCCTGGGCAACATAGTGAGATCCTGTCTCTACAAAAAAGAAAGAGACATAGCATGGTGTCTCTATTTAGCTAGGCATGGTGGCACATGCCTGTAGTACCGGCTACTCGGAAGCTGAGGTGGGAGAATCACTTGAGCCCAGGAGGTGGAGTCTGCAGTGAACTCTGGTTGTGCCAATGCACTCCAGCCTGCGTGACAGAGCAAGAACCCATCTCAAAAAAGAAAAAAAGAGGTCAGGCGCAGTGGCTCACACCTGTAATCGCAGCACTCTGGGAGGTCAAGGTGGGTGGATCACCTGAGGTCAAGAGATCGAGACCAGCCTGACCAACATGGTGAAACCCCATCTCTACTAAAAATACAAAAATTAGCTGGGCATGGTGATGCACGCCTATATCCCAGCTACTTGGGAGGCTGAGGCAGGAGAACTGTTTGAACCCGAGAGGTGTAGATTGCAGTGAGCCGAGATCGCACCATTGCACTCCAGCCTGGGCAACAAGAGTGAAACTTCGTCTCAAAAAAAAAAAAAGAAAGAAAGAAAAAAGAATGGCTAAAGTTAAAAAGGCTGGTCATGCCAAGTGTTGGCAAAACTATAGAGGACAACCAACATACATGCACTGCTAATGGTAATGGAAATTAGTACAATGACTCTGGAAAAAGGCTTGTCAGTTTTTAAAATATTTTGACGTATGCACCTATCATATGACTGCCAATCAATTTGTAGGGAAATGAAAGTATATGTACATAAAAAACTTGTACCAAAGCATTCACAGCACTTTTTTATAGGAGAGAGGGGCTAATAGTGAAGAGCATGTAACAATCAAATATTCATTAACAGATAAATGAATAAGTAAGCTTTGATATATCCATATTTTGAAATACTGCAAGCAATAAAATAAATGAAACTTTCATCCATACTATAAAATAGATTAATCTCAATAAATATGCTAATTAATAGAAGCTAGATCAAAAGAGAACAAACAGTATGATATCATTTATATAAAAAGAGGCATTAGAGCCTAGTAATTAAGAGTGCAGCTTCTGGAAGCAAAATCCTTAGTATGATGTTTTGGCTCATTGACTGCAGCATTTATTTTATGTGCGCTCTTGAGGTTTTTATAGAAACAATATGCCTCAGTTTATTCATCTATATAATGACTATATCGATAGTCATCTACTTTATAAAATATAGTATTTTATAATGTAATACTTTATAATATATATTTGATATATATTTTAAAATGTCTTTATTATATGTTATAAAGTATAAATAATATAAAATAATATCTATAGTTGTTGACTTATAAAAATAAAGATTAAATGAACAAAAATATGTGAAGCACTAGTTTACTACCTAGAAAATGGTACATTCTAAATATTTTCATAATTGTAATAAATAAATAAATGTATCCTTATGTTATTTTATTAATAATAAAAAATTTATTTTTAGAATAATGAATATTATAATTATTTTTATTTTTAGAATAAATAATAATGAATAATAATATTATTCATTCTTACACAACATTGAAAAATCATAGGGTAAGATGATTGAAATTCTGTGTATAGCATCTCAGCAGATGAGATCTATAAGAAAGAACCATTGCACCCCCATTTACTTAAATCAGTTATAGTTTGTTTGAAAAAAGTCATTTATTGGAATCACCACATGACATCAATCAAGAGCAAAGTGTGTAGAATACTGTCAAGTTTTTCTCCAAGAATTTATTTCTGTTTTCAATTTGCAACTCACTGAAGCATTGAACATTTTATGAGCTCTACAGCTAACAATGCCTGGGAATTTAAATATTTTCCATGGAATATGATTACTTCAAATGAAAAAAAAAAGCAGATATGATAATGAATAATTTACCATGCATATATGGTACAAAGTAGAATCTTTAAAAATAAAGACACAAACAGCAACAATCACAAAAACCTCAATTGTTTCTGCTTTGTTCTATTTTTAGTGAACTTAAAATTTTAAGAGAAACTCTTTCTCCTTGTTTTTAACACGTGTAGAGAGAGGTGTGGAATATTGTAAAGCTTTTTATCTGACTCAGCCTGAGTGTCAGTAGATGAAGACTCATCGAGTTTAGTTAGGCCGAATAGTTTTTTCTAAAAGATATGTGACGCGTTAATCCTTGGAATCTTTGAATATAATGACACGTTAAACAGTGAATATTACCTTATATGGCAATGCTTGTGATTAAGTTAAGGACTTTAAGGGAAGGGGCTTATTCTGAAATATACTCACGGGTCTTTAATTCAATGACAAATGTTCTTCTTCTTTTTTTTTTTTTTTTTTTTGAGATGGAGTCTTGTTCTTTCGCCCAGGCTGGAGGAGTGCAGTGGTGCAATCTCTGCTCACTGCAACCTCTGCCTCCCAGGTTCAAGCAATTCTCCTGCCTCAGCCTCCTGAGGAGTGGGATTACAAGCACCTGCCATCATGCCCAGATAATTTTTATACTTTTATTAGAGGAAGGGTTTCAGCATGTTAGCCAGGCTGGTCTCAAACTCCTGACCTCAAGTTATTCGCCCTCCTCGGCCTGTGACCAGGGAGCAGAGATTGGAGTGGTGCAACCCCCAGAAGCTGGGGTAAAGGAATGCTGGCATGAGTAAAGGAATGCTGGCAGCCCCCAGAAGCTGGAAGATCCACAGAATGGATTCTCTCTAGGGACCTCAGAGTGAGTGTGGCCTCACTGTATTTAGGACTTCTAGCCTCTAGAACTGTTTTAGAATACATTGCTGTTGTTGAAGTCATTTAGTTTGTGTCAATTTGTTGTGATAGCCTAGGGAACTAATATAATGAAGCATGGAGAGAGAGAGAGAGAGAGAGGATAAAAGGTGAAAATCATGTGCCAAAACTAAAGAAAAGAGATGCTGACATTTGTGATTAAATAGAATAATTGCACTATTTAAGATTAATCACTTGAGCCTCAGAGGTGAAGGCTGTAGTGAGTCTTCATGGTGCCACTGCATTCCAGCCTGCATGACAGAGAGAGACTCTGTCTTAGGGAAGAAAAAAAAAGATTAAGGTGGTCCAGAATGCACCCAAGGATAAAATGCAAAGATGATCTTGCCCCATGTATATTTTAGCATACTACTTAGGTACTATTTATTTTTTAATTATC
The DNA here is from genome assembly GCF_000001405.40 of Homo sapiens. NCBI lineage: Eukaryota > Metazoa > Chordata > Mammalia > Primates > Hominidae > Homo > Homo sapiens. The sequence goes on from NC_000009.12 coordinate 63,695,610, forward strand.
TCCTTTTTACATTTTGACAATTTTACCCCAGTGGTCAAGCCTTGTATTAGAAAAGACAGAAAGAAGGAAAAGAAAGAAGGCAGGAAGGAAGGCAAGGGGAAAGAAGGGGAAGGAAAGGAAGTGGAAGGGAAGGGGAAGAGAAGGGGAAGAGAAGGGGAGGAGAAGGGGAGGAGAACGGGAGGGGAAGGGGAGGGGAGGGGAAACATGTTGCTTTGGACAGAATAAATGGGTAAGGGTTTCTATTTTAATTAGATTAAGATTAATTAGATTAAACCTCTGAGGAAGTCTTACTTGAGCTGAGAAACTAAATATGAGAGGGAGGAGTACCACTGCATTGGTTATAGATGGGGTAGAAGTCTACAAAAGAGTTCATTGAGGAATAGAGTAGTAAATAAGTGACTTAATAATGAGTTTGTTGCCGGGCACAGTGGTTCAAGCGTGTAATCCCAGCACTTTGGGAGGCCGAGGCGGGCGGATCACGAGGTCAGGGGATCAAGACCATCCTGGCTAACACGGTGAAACCCCGTCTCTACTAAACAAAATACAAAAAATTAGCCGGGCATGGTGGCGGGAGCCTGCAGTCCCAGCTAGTCGGGAGGCTGAGACGGGAGAATGGCGTGAACCCGGGAGGCGGAGGTTGAGTGAGCCAAGATCGCGCCACTACACTCCAGCCTGGGCGATAGAGCGAGACTCTGTCTCCAAAAAAAAAAAAAAAAAATAATAATAATAATAATAATGAGTTTGTATTGTTCTTATTTTGCAAAAGAACGCAAGATCTGGGTAGAGAAAGGGCAAGAGGGAGGACTTCCCAGATTGAATCAATAATATTAACAGTATCAATCTGCCACTAATAATTATTTAAGAAAAGTATTTTTCTGCTTTCAGTTTTATTTATTAAATAGTTTCTGCTAGCCTAATGTTAAAGTCTGCCAACTAGTTCCTTCAAGTTAATCACATTCACTTTTGATTCCCTCTTAACACATTAAGATATTTTATAATTCTGTGAGTTTAAAATCCAATGCAAATTCATTGTGGTCAGGCAAGATGCAAGACCAGTCAGGCAAATACACTTCCCTTATTTTTTATGGGTCTGAAATATCTTTTGTCTTGGGAGATGTATTATTATACAAAAGATCTATTTGGCAATTTATAGTTTGCTTTTTATCTATTCAATTGTTCCCTGGTATTCTTAGAACAGAAATGCGAACCTTTTAAGAATAATAACATGCCAATTACCTTTAATTACTCTCTAGCTCTTTCAGTTAAACAAAAAAAACCTCTCATTTTCGGTTTAGTTTGTAACTGAATAGAACATTTTATATCTAAACCCTTAATGGAAAGGCTTTCCTATTTCCCACAATTTTCTTTTCTATTTAATGTATTCTCTAAATTTAACACATTATTTAAAATGCCATCCGTATACCTGATCAACTTGAAAAGATGGAGAAACACACAAGTAAAGTTTATTATCTGTTCACATTTTATTCTGTTTCCATTTTCATAATCAAATAAATGTAGACTGTAAAATACTTATTTACAAATCTGTCTGATTTATATAATAAACTCTGAGGAAACTGGAATGAAGTAGTGCTACAAGCAAGGGACAGAATAAAGCTTTGTGTATTAATTACCTGATTTATACTTTAGTCCCTTTAAGTAAAAGAATGTAACAAATAGAAGGATAGTTATTAATATATTTGGAGGAGAAAGAAGGATAAAATGAAAGAAAGATACAATGTTCTTAAAAAACGGGAGTTTTATCTTTTTTCAGAAGTTTAAAAAATATTTAAACATCTTCCTTTATGTTAGCGCATATTTATGTTATACATTTCATTTACAAGTAATTGTATGGTAAATAGTTACAAAAACAACAAGGAAAATCTTTGAGTTAAGGAGCTCATGATTTTCAGTGTAAAATACATGTTATTTGAGTAATTTGGGAAACTGACAGAAGCTTTCTTGCAGTCAAGAATACTGCTCAAAAATTAATTTTAAAATAAAAATAAAAGAAAAAAAATCCTGAAAGCTTATGTAGCAAAACAAGTATTGTAGTCCATTACCAAAATTAGCCTTTTCTGAAATGTTAAAAAGCAAAAAGATCTTAGAGCAGAATTTCATATACAGTTCATTTTGGGACTGATCTTACTTCCTTGGTAGGTGGTCTTACTTCATCCTGTTGGAGCCCATCATGGAGAGCTGTTTTACAAATATTCTTAGCTCTACTACTCACAAAAAAATTCAACCTATGACTCCTGTTTCTGATAAAGTAGCTATTTAAATTCATTAAGAATGTTTCATCATTTTAGTATGCAAAATGCATTGTTAGATTATGTGACACATGCTGTCTTAAAAGTTAATAAATCTCCCAGAAGAAATTAGACTCAGATGCTATATTTATTATGGAGAATTAAGAAATACCTAAGGTTACTGTAATCATCACTTAGGAGTTTTGAATCAATTATATGAGAAACTAAAGAAGAAACTTTGACCAGAAAAAAAATGAACCAACAAGAAAAAAATCATATAAAGTCATTTTATTGGACACAAATGCTAAAAATTAGAAAAACCATACATTTTACTCTATCAATCTATTAGGAAAAACTATAGAATATGATAGTGATTGCATTGATTCTGCTTAGCAAATTAAATGCAAAACTAAGATATTCACCAAATATATAGTTATTTTCTAAGAAATAAAACTCACACATACTGGTGGCAACTGCCATTTTTAGCAGAAACCAAAACTATTTCCTGTTAACAAGAAGGAAAAACCATCAGTGAACACTCAAGTAATAATCAGGGGACTAGGATGGACTCTCAGTAAGAAACCACTGGAATATACCTGGACTAAATCTATTCTAACAAAATTAAGTATACCAACTGAATAGTTTTGTGTGTGCATTTGTTTTTACTATATACTTTTATAATCTCAAAAGTACCTAAAAGGAGGCAAAACAAGAAAGGATTTGTCTACAGAAAGTAAAAATAAGAATGATTATAAAATATTGTTAAAGAAAAGACACTGCACAGAATAGTCATGGAGATTTCTGTACTAATCACCTTGATCATAATGAATAATCACTGAATTTCACTGGCCTATTTTCCTCCACAAGATTCTATGTTAGGTAAGCAACTTTGGGTAATTCAATAATAGGAAAGATGTTTCTTTTATAACATATCTGATTTGTACAACTATTTGAAATACATTTTATGCTATAAAATAAAAATGGTAACTCTTATTTACACAGCTATTTATTGTGAATTTGTATAAAGACAGCTCATCCTTAGAACATAATAGACTAGGATTCTTGGTAAAGTATATATTGTATATCTGAAAAATGTAATAGTGACAATATTAAAGTGTTGCCACTTAGTGCTGTGTTACCTAAAGTGTGTGACACTTTCTGTCAGTCTTATCACTGACATTTAAATTTCAGATATAGGTGAATTCAATATTGAAGTGAATAGAGCTACCGACATTTGCTTTCCTAATATTCATGGAAGTTGTTGTTGACCTCTCATAGATAAATAAGCAAATAATATCTTCAAAAATATATCTAACTTGACTCAAATACTTCTAAGTATTTTGTCATTTGAAGGGATATGAGCAAGTTGAGAAGAAGAAATGTGGAGAGAGAAATATTCATGAAAACTAAATGTATAACATTCAACTATTGCTCAATTCTTAGAAATTTAATCACTACTTATATTTTAAAGCAAAATATTTTTGAACTTATTTAGAAAAATATGACTTCATCTCTCATATGTCCATTCAAAGTTTTAAACAAAGTATAAAAGGAAATTAAACAGTGGAGGAAATGAGAAAGGTCATAGGCATTCAAGAGGTTTCAACAAATTTCTGGAGGAATGAAAGGTAATTGAAGGATGTGTTAAAATAATTTCTGTTATTATCTTTATAGATTTAGTGTCCAGTAAACCTTTTATAAACAATCCAACTTGTTGTTTTGTGTTCCTGAACTTTATTTAAACTGAATTATATTGTACATATCCTTTTGTGACTTAATCATACCACTGCATATTATGTTTGTGAGAGTAAGCCACATTAACATATCTAAATAAAGTTATCTATTTTTTTCTAAAGTGTAGTATTCCACTGTATGAATCTACCACATTCTACTGTTGTTTAACCTTTGCATTGCTTATAGTACTTAACTGAGCCTGTAAATATTTTGGATCACATTTCTTAATGGCCAACCATGTACATACAAAATAAGGAGTGAAAGCCAATTGCTGATTAGAATATATGGTCATCTTCAATATTACTGGGTAATACAAGCCTCTTTTTAAAACGGATATAATTTCCATTTCCAAGAAAGCATATGAAATTATTATTGCTCTATATGTTTGCCAGAAGTCTGTCTTGTCAGACTGTTTTTGGTCAATCTGTTGTATAAGTAATAATGTACATATAAAACATTTTCATTTGCATTTTTGTGTTAAAAATATGTTAAAGTGATTCTAAATATGTATGGTGGACACATATTTTACATTTTATAAAGCACATGTGCAAGCCATTTTCTTTGTTTTACTGTCGGGTTTTCTGTAATTTTTGCCTGGCTTTACATTTAAATATTGATCGCCAAGGAATTGATTGTTACATATTATATAAGGTAAAGAATCACTTTAATTATTTTCCATATGTATAGCCAGTTTTCTCACTCTCATTTATTGGCAAATTTATTTTTCACCACTGATCTATAATACTAGCTTTCTTACATATCATGGGTTCTTATATTTTCCTTACTGTAGTCTACCTATTCCATTTCATTGATTATTTATTACTTTGTTAATATCACATTGCATTAATTCTTATAATATTTCCTGTAATATATTCTTCCTTCCTCAATAAATTATTAACTGAATTTTAATATTTTTAGAGTTTACATAAATTCTAGAATTAGCTTGTCAATATCTAAATCAAACCTTACTGGGTTTTACTTTGGATGCACTAGTTACAAAGATTAATTTTGGGGAGAAGTGATTTCATTAAAGTTTTTCAATTCAAGAATATATTTATGTCAATGTTATGTCTATGTTTATTTGAACTTTATTTAAACTGAGTTATACTGTACATATTCTTTTGTGACTTAATCATGCCACTAAATATTATGTTTGTGAGAGTAAGCCACATTGACACATCTAAATAAAGTTCTCTACTTATATGAAATGCATTTCAATATTGCATAATACGTTTGTGTCAAAGCATCTTGCTAAAAGCTCATATTCATTAGTATAATGTATCTTACAATCATTTTGAATTTTCTGTGTACTTAGTGTCATCGGTAACATAGTAATCTGTTTTCTCTTTCATAATTCTTATTTTTTTTAATATTTACAATCCTATCCCAGTGTCTAAGACCTGCAAAAGGATAAATAAAATTGCTTGTACCATCTATGTTTATTTTGTTCCCAATCACAAAGGAAATATTTTAACATTCCATTGTTAAGTGTTATAATTTCAATAGAACTTTTGAAAACAAATGTTATCAGTTAAACTAGATTCTCTTTTAATTTCGGGTTGTTAAAATGTATGACTTTTTAAGAAAATAAAATTAAATATGCTTATAATATTGTTAAGTTATTTGTTGTGGTGTATCATATTAATTGATACCTTTACATGAGGCCATTATTGCTTCCCAGGGTTTCTTAGAATAAACATTGGCTGTGATGTCTTACATTTTAATGCATTGCTTATTTCTGCATGGTACTTTTTTAAGTTTTCCTTCATTATTTTCATAAATTACATTGGTGTTTAATTTACTTTCCCTTTACTATCCTTGTCAGGTTATAATATCAGAGTCATAATAGCATAATAAAATGAAATAGAGTATGTTCTTTCCTGTTTCATGCTCAGAAAGAATTGTATGTAAGAATGGAATTATTGTTTTGTTTCATGTTTGAAACAACTTGCCAGTAAAGTCATCATGGCTTGAAATTATCTTTATGATATGATTTCTGACTACTGATTACATGCATTTGTTGTAGCACAATTCAGATTTTTCTTTTCACTTTAGGTTCCTTTTGGAAAAATGCATGTTTCAAGTAATTGTACACATTTTACATATATTTCCAAATTTATTGAATTAAACGTTTTCATACTATACTAATTTACCTTCTTGATATTTGTATTATTTATAACAAAACTCAATAAACTGTGGCAAATAAGCCAGACAGTATTTATAAATAAAGTATTACTGGAACACTGTCATGCTCATTCATTGACATACTGTCAATTTATGCCACAACAATAGAATTGATTAGTTGCAACAAACCATATAGCCCAAAAACCTAAAATATTTACCATCTGATCCTTTCCAAAAAACAAAAAAAATTCTTGACACCTGATGTATAATTATTTCCTATTTTGATTCCTGAGATTGCATACTTGTTTCTTCTCTTAATTTTATCAAGCCATTTCTCCAGAGTTTTGTTATTGTATGGCTCCTACAACAACTAACAAATTTTGGCCATATTTCTTGACTTTTCTTTCCCTGTATTCTTAATCACTATGCATGTATTTTTTATTTCCTTTTATTTCTGTTGATATTTCTAACTTCTTCCAATAAATTCAAAACATTTTAAATATTAATTTGTTGTCCTCATAAAATAAGAATTTAAGGTTCTACACTTTCCTCTAAAATGACACATTTTATAATGTAGTATACATTTTTTAATTAAAAATATTTTATAATTTCCATTATGATTTGCTCTTGGGTGTTGAGTTACTAAGAAGTATATTTCTGAGGTTTTTCTTCAATATGACTGACTATGGATATTCGACTCTAGTTATTCTCAGAAAGAGAAAGCAAAGTTATGGATAAATAATCGTTAATTCCAATATCTATATTGACGGAAGAGTGCTAGAGCACCACAAGAAGAAACTTGAACACAGAAAAATAAGGAAGCAAGAATCCAGCAGAGATTATACTCTGAGGGACTTGATGTTCCATGGAAAAGCATAGGTGGGGGTGTCTTTTGCTCCTCTCACCCCTGCGGCAGACTGCTTGTTTCTGAACTGTTGGAGAGCCCTCGATTCTCACAAGCCCAAGCACTGGTGTGGTCTGCAATCTTGGAACAACTTGAGGACAGAGAACAAGGCCACCATTTCCTGCAGTGCCACTTGCCCTTCACCCAGCCCCAAGATGAGGTGGTGGGCACCATACTGGATATGCCTCTGTGGTGGACCTCTATAATGCCTTTGAGTGACAGAGATGCTTGCCCCATCCCCTTGACGGCTTCCTTCTCCGTCCCTGCGTCGAGCTGTGGCTAGATTTCGCGATGAGGGCAGAGGGCGAGAGGCGTGAGAAGCATCTTCTGGAAGGTCTGCCGACACCCTCCTGCGGGTGGACAATGAGCGCTTGGAGGCCGTTGTCCTTGGTTGGGGAGCGGTCGTCTGGATCTAGGCTAGCAAAGAGGCTGCTCCGGGTGGGGAGGGAATGAAAACCCCTGCGGCTCCGACACAGATGCCCACATTGCCCAGGCCTTCACAGACCCCCAAACCGGAACCGCCGGGAAAACGATTGCCAACTGGCCACAACACCCAGGCAGAGACGCGGGGAGAGGCTGACCAGAAGAAAGGCCGACGTGCAAGAAACCCAGCCTCCGGCGCACAGGGAACATGTGTCCCAAGGCGCATGCACACACAGACGGACAGAGACAGAAAGAGAGGGCGACGGAAAGAGCGAGAAGGGAGAGAGAGAGAGACAGAGACGTAAGAGACAGTAGTGGGCACACAGACGCGCGTGCGCGCGCACACACACAGACACACAGACACACACACACACACCCATAACGCACACAGACATACAGCAGGTAACACCCACCCCCAGGCAGCCCCTGAAGCTGCCGGGTTCTGCTCTCCGCGACGACGAGCCACCGGTGAGACAGCAGCCCACGGGCACACAGGGAGACCTGTCCTCGACATCACAAGGGCGCCACTTTTGGGGAGATTCACCCGCACACCGTCCGCGCACGCCTGAGGCTGGGATCCCGCGCTGCCTCCCCGGCGATCTGTCTGAGGTTTCTTCCTCCTGGGGTTTCTTCCTACTGGTGGACCCTCCGCGAATCTCGGCCTCCGGAGACCGTCCTGGTAACTGCCCTGGCCAGGGCTGGTCTCAGCCCCGACTCTGACGCACGATCACACAGGGCTCCTACTTCGCCAAGTCTCAGGGACCCATCCCCGGGCAATGGTGGCGGTCACTGTGACCAAAGCGGCGGCTCCGGCCTCGCGCATGCGCACTGGCGAGGCCGACTCACCCGCCCCCACCCCCCCTTACTCGGCAGAGTCAGGCTGCGGACCCTTTAAAAAATGGCGGCAACGCGGCGGCTGCGGGGACTGGGGCGGCGGTGCTGGAGGTTGCGGCGGCGGCTGCGGCGCAGCCCCAGGCGGCGGGTGGGAAGAGGACTACCAGAGGGGCCTGCGGGAGACCCAGGGTCGGACCCATAGGAGTCCTGTCGTCAGGACCTCCGTGATCGGTCTTCTGCTTGGGTTCCCGGTGAAGGAGGAGCTTCGGGGTGTCGGCTGGGCTGCGCGGACTCCTCTTGGGATCCGATGATGGATCCCACCCGGTGATCGGGAATGGGGTTACAATGCAGTGAGGCGGAAAGGCTCTCGCCGGGGCACAGAAACATCCCCAGGGCCGCAAGGCGTGCTGTCGCCTGCAAAGGCACTGACCCACGAGCCCACTGCCTCCCTCCTTCCTGGGTGGAGCAGGGGCCTGCCTTCATCTCCAAGGCCCGGGGGCTCCGGCATCTCGACGCGGCTTCCGGCGACACGGGCAAAGAGAGACAGAGGCTAGTCCGAGCCGGAGCCAGTGTGACCACACGTGGCACTGACGTCCCCCAAGAGCACATGCAGTGAGCCTGTGTCTCTGAGGCCGTAGGGGGCGACGACGAGACGGACAGTGATGTCCAGGCCTGCGCCTGGGGGGCCACTGGAGACCTGCCCCTCAAAGCGGAGGAAACGCCAAGCCCACCTGAAAACCTGCGAGACAGGGCCTTTGCGCGAGTCCAGTACTCCTACTTCGCCAAGTCTCAGGGACCCATCCCCCAGCAACGGTGGCCGCGCAGAGAGGCGCACGGCGCCGGCGCAGGCGCAGAGAGACAGGAGGCTGATGGGGGGAAGTTGAGGCACCTGGGGCAGAGAAAAAATGCATCGCCAAGCTGTTTCTGGGTCATCCATGTACGAAAATGTCTTCCCATCAGCCCTTGCGCTGGTTCCTAGGGACCCTGGCATCCGTCGTTGCTGCCCAGGGTGCGCGTCGGGCCACTAGGGGTACCCCAACTCGGAGAGAAGGACCATGAGTTGAATTTGAAGTTTGTGGGAATAGAGGTGAAGCACCAGGGGCAGAAAAAAAACAGGAGACCTCGCCTCAGACAAGCGGGGCCTGGGTCCCCCATGGATGAAAGTGCCTTCCCATTATGCCGTACGCTGGGCAGAGTGGACAGTGACGACCCTGGTTTGATCCCAGGGTGCGCTTCGGGACCACTTGCGGTACCAGAAAGCGAACAAAAGGTCCATGAGCGGAAGGTGAGGCACCTGAGGCAGAGAAAGTAAAGAAACGCGCCGCCGAGAAGCAGTGCCTGGGTCCCTCACGGAGGAAATTGTCTTCTCCTCAGCCCGTTCGCTGGGCACTGAGGTCCCTGGCGTCCCTGGTTTGATCCCAGGGTACGCCTCGGGCCACTAGTGTTACCCCAAGGTGGGCAGAAAGCCCATAAGGGGAAGGCGAGGCACCTGGGGCAGAGAAAAAAAAAACTTCGCCGCAGAGAAGCGCGGCCTGATTCCCCACGGACGAGAGTGTCTTCCCATCAGTCCCTGCACTGGGACCTGGGGACCCTGGTGTCCCTGGTTCGAGCTCAGGGTGTGCCTCAGCCGCTAAGTGCACCCCAAGGGGAGCTTTGGGAGCACAAAGCCCATGAGGGAAGGTGAGTTTTGAGGGAGGAGTGGTGAGGCACCTGTCACAGAAAAAGAAAAAAAAAACAACCCGCGCCACGGAGAAGCAGGGCCTGGGTCCCCCACGATGAAAATGCCTTCCCATCAGCTCCTGCTCTGGGCCCTGTGGACCCTGGAGACCCTGGTTCGAGCCACGGGTGGGCCTCGGGCCCGCTAGGGGTACCCCCGTGCGCCTCTCTGCGCCTGCGCCGGCGCCGTGTGCCTTTGCGAGGGCGGAGCTGCCTTCTCCTCAGCACAGATCCGGAGAGCATTGCCAGGGCGGAGCTGAGTTCTCCTCTGCACAGACTTCGGAGATACAGCGAAGCGCAGCATGTTCTCCTCAGCACAGACCCGGGCGGGCGGGCCGGGGGCAACGCGAGGGCGGAGCTGCGTTCTGCTCAGCACAGACCCGGGGGTCACCGCGAAGGCAGAGCAGCGTTCTCAGCACAGACCTTGGGGGCACTGCCTCGCTTTGGGACTACTCGGAGCCGCATCGATGGTGAATAAAATCCTTCCTGTTTGCAGCCCTTAATAATCAGGGTCAGAGACCAGTTAGAAGGGTTCAGTGTGGAAAACGGGAAACCAAAAGCCCCTCTGAATCCTACCCACCGAGGTTCTCCCCAGCCAAGGCGAGGCGGCCGCAGTGCGAGATCCACACCGCAGCCTCGGAAGACAAGCGGGCAGAAATCCCATGAGGGGCAGTTGAGGTTTGAGGAAGGAGAGGTGAGGCACCTGTGGCAGAAAAAAAAAAACCGCACCACGGAGAAGCAGAGCCTGGGTCCCCAACGGACAAAAGTGTCTTCCCATCAGCCCTTGCGCTGGCCGCAGGTGACCCTGGCATTCCTGGTTCGAGACCAGGGTGCGCTTCAGGCCGCTAGGGGTACCCAAAAGCGGGCAGAAGGCCCATGAGGGGAAGGTGATGCACCTGGGGCAGAGAAAAAAAAAAAAAAAAAAAAAACAACCGCGCCGCGTATAAGCGGGGCCTGGCTCCCCCACAGAAGAAACTGTCCTCACATCAGCGCTTGCGCTGCGCCCCAGGGACCCTGGTATCCCTGGCTCGAGCCCAGCGTGCGCCTCGGCCTGCTAGGGGTACCCCAAGGCAGACAGAAGGCCCATGAGGGAAAGGTGAGACACCTGGGGCAGAGAAAAAAATAAAAAAACTGCGCCGCCCAGAAGTGGGGCCTGGGTCCCCCACAGACGAACGTCCCTACCTATCAGCCCTGAACTGGGCCCTGGAGACCCTAGCGTCCCTGGCTCGAAACCAGGGTGCGCTTCGGGCCCGCTAGTGGTACCTCAAGGCGGGCAGAAAACCCATGAGGGGAAGGTGAGGCACCTGGGGAAAAGCGAAAAAAACAAAAACAAAAACGTCGCAGAGGAGCAGAGCCTGGGTCCCCGAGGAAGAAAGTGTCTTCGCATCAGCCCTTGCGCTGGGCCCCGGGGACCCTGGTGTCCCAGTTTCGAACCCAGGGTGTGCGTCTGGCCACTAGGGGTACCCCAAGTCGGACAGAAGGCCCATGAGGGGAAGGTGAGGTTTGAGGGAGGAGACGTGAGGCAACTGTGGCAGAAAAAAAAAAAAAAAAAACACGCCGCGGAGAAGCGGGGCCTGGGTCCCCAACGTACGAAAGTGCCTTCCCATCAGCCCCTGCGCTGGGCCCCATGGACACTGGCGACCCTGGTTAGAGCCCAGGGTGCGCCTCGTGCCCAATAGGGGTATCCCAAAGCGGGCAGAATGCTCATTAGGGGAAGGTGAGACACCTGGGGCAGAGAAAAAAAAAAACCGCGCCGCAAAGAAGCGGGACCTGGGTCCCCCACGGATGAAAGTGTCTTCCCATCAGCCCCTGCCCTGGGCCCCATGGACCCTGGCAACCCTGGTTCGAGCCCCAGGTGCGCCTCGCGCCCGCTAGGGTTACCCAGAAGCCGGCAGAAGGCCCATGAGAGGAAGGTGAGACACCTGGGGCAAAGGAAAAAAAAAAAACCGCGCTGCAGAGAAGCGGGGCCTGGCTCCTCCACGGACGAAGGTGCCTTCCCATCAGCCCCTGCGCTGGGCCTTGGGGAACCTGGTGTCCCTGGCTGGAAACCAGGGTGCACCTCGGACCCGCTAGGGGTACCCCAAGGAGAGCAGAAAGCCCATGAGGGGAAGGTGAGGCACCTGCGGCAGAGAAAGAAGAAAAACCGCGCCGTGGAGAAGCGGGGCCTGGGTCCCCCACTGACGAAAGTGTCTTTCCGTCAGCCCTTGAGCTGGGTCCCGAGGACGCTGACATCACTGGTTCGAGCCCACGCCGTGCCTCAGGCTGCTACGAGTACCCCAAGGAGGAAAGAAGGCCCAAAAGTTTCAGCTGAGGTTTGAGGGAGGAGAGATGAGGCACCTGCGGCAGAAAAAAAAAAAAAAAAAAACAAAACCGCGCAGCGGAGAACCGGTGCCTGAGTCTCCCAGGGACGAAAGTGCCTTCCCATCAGCCACTGCGCTTGGCCCCATGGAAACTGGCCTCCATGGTTCGAGCCCAGGGTGCGCCTCGGGCCGCTAGGGGTACCCCAAAGTGTGCAGAAGGCCCATGAGGGGAAGGTGAAGCACCTGGGGCAGAGAAAAAAAAAAAAAAAACTCGCCGCGGAGAAGCGGGGACTGGGTCCCCCCCACGGACGAAAGTGTCTTCCCATCAGCCCTTGCGCTGGGCCCCAGGGACCCTGGCTTCCCTGGTTCGAGCCCACAGTGCACCTCGGGCCGCTAGGTGTACCCCAAGGCAGACAGAAGGCCCATGAGGGGAAGGTGAGGTTTGAGGGAGGAGCGGTGAGGCACCTGTGGCAGAAAAAAAAAAAACGCGCCACGGAGAAGCAGGGCATGGGTCCCCCACGGACGAAAGTGCCTTACCATCAGGCCCTGCGCTGAGCCCCATGGACCCTGGCGACCTTGGCTCAAACCCAGGGTGCGCCTCGGGCCGTTAGGGGTACCCCAAGGCGGGCAGAAAGCCCATGAGGGGAAGTTGAGGTCTGAGGGAGGAGAGGTGAGGCACCTGTGGCAGAAAAAAAAAAACAAAAAAAAACAAAAAAAAAAACCGCGCCGCAGAGAAGCGGGGCCTGGGTCCGCCACGGACGAAAGTGTCTTCCCATCAGCCCTTGCGCTGCGCCCCGGGGACCCTGACGACCCTGATTCGAGCCAAGGGTGCGCCTCGGTCCACTAGGGGTACCCCAAAGCAGGCAGATGGCTCATGAGGGGAAGGTGAGGTACCTGGGGCAGCCAAAACTAAAAAAAAAACTGCACCGCGGAGAAGCGGTGTCTGGGTCCCCCACAGACGAAAGTTTCTTCCTATCAGCCCTTGCACTGGGCCCCGGGAACCCTGGCGTCCCTCGTTAGACCCCATGGTTCGCCTCGGGCCGCTAGGGGTACCCCAAGGCGGGCAGAAGGCCCATGAGGCGAAGGTGAGGTTTGAGGGAGGAGAGGTGAGGCACCTGTGGCAGAAAAAAAAAAAAAAAAAAACGCGCCACGGAGAAGGGGGGCCTGGGTCCCCCACGGACGAAAGTGCTTTACCATTAGCCCCTGCGCTTGGCCCCGTGCACCCTGGCGACCCTGGTTCGAACCCAGTGTGCGCCTTGGGCCGCTAGCCGTACCCCAAAGTGGGCAGAAGCCCATGAGGGGAAGGTGAGGCACCTGGGGCGGAGAGAAAAGGAAAAAACCTTGCCACGGAGAAGGGAGGCCTGGGTTCCCCATGAAAGAAAGTGCCTTCCCATCAGACCCGGTGCTAGGCCCCAGGGACCCTGGCATCCCTGGTTCGAGCCCAGGGTGCGCCTCGGGCCGCTGGGGGTACCCCAAGGCGGACAGAAAGCCCATGAGGGGAAGGTGAGGCACCTGTGGCAGAAAAAAAAAACAAAAAACCGCGCCGCAGTGAAGCTGGGCCTGTGTCCCCCACTGACGAAAGTGCCTTCCCATCAGGCCTTGCGCTGGACCTCGCGGACACTGGCGACCCTGGTTCGAGCCCAGGGTGCGCCTTGGGCCCGCTAGGGGTACCCAGAAGCGGGCAGAAGGCCCATGAGGGGTAGGTGAGGCACCTGAGGCAGAGAAAAAAAAAAACTGTGCCGCGGAGAAGCGGGGCCTGGGTCCCCCACGGAAGAAAGTGTCTTCCCATCAGCCCCTGAGCTGGGCCCAGGGGACCCTGGCATCCCTGGTTCAAGACCAGGGTGCGCTTCGGGCCTCTTGGGGTACCCCATGGCGGGCAGAAAGCCTATGAGGGGAAGGTGAGGTTTGAGGGAGGAGAGGTATGGCACCTGTGGCATAAAAGAAAAAAAAAACCGCGCCACAGAGAAGCAGGGCCTGGGTCCCCCAAGGACGAAAGCGCCTTCTCATCCGCCCTTGTGCTGGGCCCCGGGGACCCTGTCGTCCCTGGCTCGAATCCAGGGTGCGCCTCTGGCCTGCTAGGGGTAACCCAAAGCGGGCAGAAGGCCCATAAGGGGAAGGTGAGGCACCTGGGGCAGAGAAAAAAAAAAAAACAGCGCTGCGGAGAAGCGGGGCCTGGGTCCCCCACGGGTGAAAGTGTGTTCCCATCAACCCTTGCGCTGGGCCCCGGGGACCCTGGCGACCCTTATTTGAGCCCAGCATGTGCTTGGGTTCACTAGGGGTACCCCAAAGCGGGCAGAAGACCCATGAGGGGAAGGTGACCCACCTGGGGCAGAGGAAAAAAAAACGCGCCACGGAGAAGCGGGGCCTGGGACCCCCACGGAAGAAAGTGTCTCCCCATCAGCCCTTGCGCTGTGCCCTGGGGACCCTGGCATCCCTGGTTCGAGCCCAGGGTGCGCCTCGGGCCGCCAGGGGTACCACAAGGTGGACAGAAGGCCCATGAGGGGAAGGTGAGGCACCTGGGGCAGAGAAAAAAAAAACTGTGCCACGGAGAAGCGGGGACTGGGTCCCCCACGGACGAAAGTGTATTCCCATGAACACTTGCGCTGAGCCCCAGGGACCCTGGTGTCCCTGGTTCTAGTCCAGTGTGCACCTAAGGCGGCTAGGGGTACCCCAAGTCGGACAGAAGGCCCATGAGGGAAAGTGAGGTTTCAGGGAGTAGAGGTGAGGCACCTGTGGCAGGTGTCCATCTGTAAACTGCTTATCCATGTGAGCCCTGATGTCCACCAGGGGCTGGATGTCCCCCTGGGGCTAGATGTTCGCCTGGAGCCTGGTGCCCACCTGGGGCCTGATATCCAGGAGAGGCTTAGTTATCCACCTATGGCCATCTGGAGCCAGATGCCCACCTGAGGTCTGCTGTACACCTAAGGCCTGATCTCTACCTGGGGCTTGGGTGTTCATGTGGGGCCTGATGTCCACCTAAGACCATGTGTTCACCTGGACCCTGGGTGACCATCTGGGTTATGATGTTCAGCTGGGGCCCAGAGTTCAGCTGGGGACTGGGTCAACCTTCTGCCTGATGCACACCTGGGGACTAGGTACCCACCTGGGCTCCAGTGTTCACTGGGGCCTGATGTCTACCTGGGGCCTTGTATTTACCTAGGACCACTGCATCCATCTGGGGTCTGAGTGCCCTCATGGAGCCTGGAGTTTTCCTGGGGACTGGGGTCTGCCTTAGGCTTAAGTGTACATCTGTGGCCTCGTGTCCACCTTGGGACAGATGTCCACCTGGTGACGGATATTCAGTAGGGGCCTGAGTGTCCACCTGGTTTTTGATGTCTACCTGGGGCCTGGTGTTCATCTGAGGTGTGATATCCACCTGGGGCCTGGACATTTGCCTGGAACCTGATGTACAGCTGGTGCCTGAAGTTCATCTATGCCTGGTGTCTCCCTGGGGCCAGGTAGTCAACACAGGGCCTGAAGACCTTCTAGAGTTCAGTGTTCACCTGGGGTCCGAAGTCCACCTAGGGCTTGGGTGTCCAAATAGGGCCTGGTGTCAGCTTGAGATTTGTGTATTTACCTAGGGCCTGGTTGTCCACTTGGGGCTTGATTTTTTACTTGGTTTTTGTGTTAATCTGGGGTCTAGTGTCCACCTGGGGCCTGGGTATCCACCTAGGGACTATTGTCCAGCTGGAGACTAATGACTACCTATGGCCTGGTAATCACCTAAGGCTTTGTTTCACTTAGGTACTTGGTGACAAACTGTTGCCTGCTGTTCACCTGGGGTATGGTGTCCACCTGGGGTCTGGATGTCAGCCTGGGGCTTGGTGTATACATGTATCTCAGATATCCAGATAGGGGTCTGTTTTCTGCTTAGGTGCAGCAGTCCATCTGGTGCTTGAGTGTCAACCTAAGGCCTGATGTCTATGTTGGACCTAGGGTTCACCTGAGGCCTGATATCCACCTGGGGCCTCAATGTCCAAATGGGGCCTGATGCCCATCTGGGCCCTGGGTGTCCACCTGCAGCATGGATGTCCACTGGTACTTTATGTCCACCAGGGGCCTAATGTCCACCTAAGACCTGGTGTTCACCTGGGGTCTGATGTTCAGCTGAAGACCGGATGTCCACCTGGAGCCGAGGAATCCACTCAGGGACTGGTGTTGAACTGAGGCCTGATGACCACCTGGGGACAAGGTACACACCAGGCTTGTTGTCCACCTGTCACCAGATGTCCACCTGAGTCCTGATGTCCATCTTGATCCTGTTTGTCCACATTGGGCCTGATGTCCAGCTGGGGCCTAGGTACCCACTGGGGGCTTCCTGTTAACCTGGGGACTGGTGTCATTCTGGGGCCTAATGACCACCTGGGTTGTATTATTCACCTGGGGCCTGGTGTCCACTTGGGGCTTGAGTGTAACCTTGGACCTGGCACCCACATAGGATTGGGTATCAAACTGGCCCGTTGGTGTCCAGTTAAGACATCATGTGAACCTGGCGCCTGAGTGTCCACTTGGGGCCAAATGACTACTGGGGGCCTGAATGTCAACCTAGAATCTGAGGTTTACTAGGGGCCTAGGTATCCACCTAGGGCCTGGTCTTCACTTGGGGCCTGCGGTCTACCTGGGCCTTGCTGTCAACCTAGGGCCTGATGTAAACCTCTAGTTCAGTATCCACCTGGGGCCAGATGTCTTCCTAGAGACTTATATTCACTTTTGACCTGATGTCCACCTGGGGACTTGCTATCCATCCATGGTCTGATATTCACCTGGAGACAGATGTTCAACTGTGGCCAGAAGTGCTCCTGGGGTCTGGGCTTCCACCTGGAGCCTGATGTTTAGCTGGGGCTAGAGTTCACATGGAGAATGATGTCCACCTGAAGTTTGATGTTTACCTGGGGCCTGATACCTACCTGGTGCCCAAGTATTCTCATGTGCCTAACGTCCACTAATTGGCCTGGTGTTCATCTGAGGGCTTGGTGTCAACCAGTGGCTTTATGTACACCTGGATTCTAGTGTCCTCCTGGGGCCTTATGCCTACCAGGAGTCTGGTGTACCCCTGGGGTCTAGTATCCACCTGGAGTCTGGGCGTCCACCTGGAGCCTAATGTTGAGGTTAGACTGAGTGTCAGCCTGAGGCCTGATGTCTACTAGGGCATAGGTATTCACCTGGGGCTTGTTGTTTACCTGGGGACTAATGTCAACCTTGAGCCTAGGTATCCACCTGGGGAATAGTGTCCAGTTGCAGCCAGATGTCCACCTATGGCCTGAAGCATGGTTGTTATCCTAAGGCCTTGTATTAGTCCATTTTCACAGTTATAAAAAACTACCTGATATTGGGTAACTTATGAGGAAAAGAGGTTTAACTGACCCACAGTTCTTCAGGCTTAATAGGGAGCATGACTGGGCGGGCTCAGGACACTTACAATCATGATGTAAAGCCAAGAGGAAGCAAGCCCTTTTTACCATGTGGGAGGAGGAGGGAGACAGAAGGGGGATGTGCTACACACTTTCAAATAACCAGATCTCGTAAGAACTCTATCACGAGAACACCAAGTGGGAAGTCTGCCCCCATGATTCAATAACCATTCACCAGGCCCATTCTTCAACCCATGGGGATTACAATTCAACATGAGATTTGGGTGGAGACATAGAGCCAATATCAGGCCTGATGCCCACCTGGAGTCATGTCTACCTGAGGCCTAATGTAGACATGAGGCCTGGGCATTCACCTAGGACCTCATGTTAAGATAGGGGCTGGAGTTCTTTTGGTGCCTAGTGTATACCTGGGGCCCAGATGTATAACTAGAACCTGATGTTTCAGATGGAAACCTGGGCCCCAGGTGCTCATCAGATCCCAGGTGAAAATTCAGGCTTCAGGTGCACATCAGACTCCAAGTGGACACATAGGCCCTAGGTTGATACCAAGATTTCAGGTAGACTCTGGGTCCCAGAAAAACACCACGCCCTAGATGGACAGCTGAACCTGAGTAGACATCAGGCCCCAGATCGACATCTGGCCCCAGGTAGATTCCTAGGCCCAAGGTGAATACTCAGTCTCCAGCCCTAGGGGAATTCAGTCTTAGGTGATTAAGGACTGGTGTTCCTCTGGGGCCTCATGTCTACCTGGGCCCTGGGAGTGCACATGGAGCCAGATTTCTATAAAGGGCCTGAGTGTCCACTAGGGCCTGAGGTTCACCAGGAGCATAGACATCCACCTAGCACCTCATGTCCACCTAAAACCTGGTGTTCACCTGGGGCCTGGGTGACAACCTGGGATCTGATGTTCACCTGAGGCCCAGAGTTCAGCTGGTGCCTATGTGTCAGCCTGGCACCTGAAGCACACGAGAGGACTAGGTGCCCACCTGAGGACTGGTGTTCATGGGGAACTGGTGTTCAGCTGTGGCTTGATGAGCAACTGGGTCCTGGTGTCCTCCTGGAAACTGATGTCCACCTGGGACTGCATGCTTACCTAGGGCCTGGTGTTCCCCTGGGGCCTGGTGTGCCCCTGAGATCTGGGGTCCACCTGGGCCTAGTATCCACTTGGGGCCTCATATCCATATGGAACATCATGTCCACTTGGGGTCTTGTAGTTACCTAGGGACTGGGTGTCCTTCTGGCACTTGAGTGTCCTCCTGGGGCCTGGGGTTCTCCTGGGGCCTGGGTGTACATCTCTGGCCTGATGTCCACCTTGGGTGGATGTCCACCTGGGGACAGATGTTCACTTGTGGCTTGAGTGTCCATCTCGTGTCTAATGTCTACCTGGGGCCTGGTGTTTGCCTGAGGCCTTATATCCACCTGGGGCCTGGGCATCCATTTGAGGCCTGATGTTTACCTAAGACCCGGTGTTTAACTGGGGCACAGACTTCTTCCTGGAGCCTGACGTTCATCTGGAGCCTGAAGTTCACCTGTGCCTGTTGTCTACCTGAGGCCTATGTGTCAACCTAGGGCCTGATGACCACCCTGAGTTCAGTGTTCACCTGGGGCCTGACATCTGCCTGGAGTCTTGGTGTCCACATAGGGCCTGATGTTGGCTTGGGACCAAAGTATTTACCTAGGGCCTGGGTGTCTACTTACAGCCTGACATCTACATGGTTCATTGTGTCAACCTGGGGCCTGATGTCCACTTAGGGCCTAGGTAAGCTCCTTATGACTAAAGTCCACATGGGGGCTGAAACCATCTCAGACCTTGAACCTAGGGCTTAGTGTCGACCTGAGACCTGGTGACCCCCTGGGGTCAAGGTATCCACCTTGGGCCTGATGACCAACTGGGGTTTAAGGATCTACCTAGAGACTGGTGTCAACCTGGAACCTGATGTCCACTTGGGGTCTGGTGTACACCTTGGGTCTGATGCCCACCTTGGCACAGGTGTACACTTTGGGCCTAGTGTGCACCTGAAGCCTGGCTGTCAACTTGGGTCTTGATGCACACCTTTAGTCAAGTGTTAAACTGGGGCCTGATGAAATACTGGAGCCTGATTTACACCTGTGTACTGGGTCTCCACCTGGGGCCTGATGTCCACCTGCAGCCAGATATCCACCTGGCACCAGATGTCTTTGAGGAATCTGGGTGTCCACCTTGAAAATGATGTATTCCAAGAGACTAGGCATGCACATTGGGCCTGGGGTGCACCTGGGTCCTGATGTCTACCTGAGGCTGGTATTGAACTGGGGCCTGTGTGTTCACTTGGAGCCTGATGTTCATTTGGAACCTGGTGTTCACCTAGGACATGGGTATCCACCTGGATCCTGATTTTCAAGTGGGGAGTGGATATAGACCTGGGAACTGATGGCCACCTATGCTATAAGTAACCCAACCACCTGGGGCCTGGTGTTCACCTGTGGCCTGATATCCACCTGGTACCTGTGTGTCAATCTAGTGCCTGGTGTCCACTTGAGGACTAGGCAGACACCTGGGGCTTGGTGTTCATCTTGCACCCAGTGTCCACCTGGATCCTGTGTATCAACCTGTGGCCTAGGTGGCCACTTGGAGCTTTATGTGCACCTGGGGCCTGAGAGGTTCCTAGGATCTGATGACCACTGGGGCCCAGGTATCCACCTGGGATATCAGGCTTCAAGTGTACACCCAGGCTCCATGTGGACACCAGGCCAGGAGAACGCCAGCCCTTATCTGAACATCAGGTCCTAGATGGACTCCCAGGCTCCATGTGTACATCAGGCCCCAGGTATACACGGGACTCCAGGTGGACACCAGCACTCAATTGGATACACACCCTGAAGGTGGATACCAGGCCCCACGTGAATTCCTACACTCCAGGTGAACATCAGGTCCCAAGTGGATACCTGGACCCCAGGTGGATACCAGTCTCTAAATTAATACCAGGCCTCAGATGGTCCTTAGGAGCCATGTGGGCATTAGTCATCAGGAAGTTACCTAGGCCCAAAGTGGACATCAGGCCCCATGTTGACACAAGATCTAGTTGGAAGTCAGGCACCAGGTGGACACCCAGGCCCTAGGTAAACACTTAGGTCCCAAGTTGACAGCAGGCCCTATGTGAACACTCAGAACTCAGGTGGACATCAGGCCTCAGGTGGACATCTGAGTTCATCTGGAACCTCATGTTACAGGCCCCATGTAAACACCAGGCCTTAGGTGGATACCCAATCTCTAGGTAGACATCAGAGCTCAGATTGACACAAAGACTCCAGTAGACATAATGTACCAATGAATATCCAGGCGCCTGGTAAATACCCAGGCCCCAGATTGACACCACGGTCTATGTGGACACACAGGCCCTGGGTAGTAAACAGGCCCAAGGTGGACACTGGACTGGACATCAGGTCCTAGGTTGACAACCATGCTCCAAGTTGACACCAGGCCCCAAGCGAACATCTGGCCCCAGCTGGACACTAGTCCCCTGGTGAATACCTAGTCTCAAGGTTGACATCAGACCCTATGTGAACACTAGACCCCAGATAAACACTTATGCCCTAAGTGGACATCAGGCCTCAGGTGGTTACCCAGTCCCAAGGTGAACATCAGGACCCCGATGGCACCAGTTATCAAGTGGATTCCTAGGCCCCAGGTGAATATCAAGCCCTAGGTGGATACCGAGCCCCAGGTGGATACCTGGATCCTGGTAGACATCAGGTCCCAAGAGGACACTAGAACCCAGGAGTACATTAGGCCACAGGTTAACACGAAGGCCCCAGATGAATACCAGGCCAACTTGTGGACATCAGGCCTGAGAAGGGTCCTGTGGACATCAGGCCTGAGAAGGGTCCAGGTGGATATCAGGCTCCAAGTGAACATCCAGCACTCAGATGAACATTAAGCTTCAGGTAGGCATCATGCCTCAGGCGAACTCCAGGCCCCAGCTGAACATCAGGCCCCAGGTGGATGCCCAGAATCCGGGTGCACATCTGGCCACAGTTGGACATTCAACCCCAGGTGACCATCAGGCCATGGGTGAATACACAGTTTCCAGGTAGACATCAGATCAAAGGGGAACATCAGTCCCCCAGTGGACATCAGGCCCAAGGTGGACACTCAACTAGAGGTTTACATCAGGCCACATGTTGACACCTAGTCCCAGGTGGACATCAGGCCCCAGCTAGATACCTAGGCTTCCAGTGAATTTCAGACACCAGGTTGACATTCAGGCCCCCAGTGGTCATCTGGCCTCATGCGAACACTCAGACCCCAGGTGCAAATGATGTCTCAACTGGATACCAAACCCCTTGTTTGATAACCAAGGCCCAGGTGGACACCATGTCCAAGGCTGACACTCAAGCCCTAAGTGAATACCAAACTCTAGGTGAATAATTCAACCCAGGTGGTCATTAGGACCCAGCTGGATACCAGTCCCCAGGTTAACACAAGGCCCCCAGTGGGCACCTAGGCACCAGCTGGACATCAGGCCCTATGTAAATACCCGGGTCTCAGGTGAACACCATGCCCCAGGTGGACATCAGGCCCTAGGTGAACACAGGGCCACAGGTGGACATCTAGCCCCTGGGCAACATCCAGCCCCAGGCGGAGATAACCATTTCCATGGATAAACCATTCCCAGGTGGATATCAGGCCTCAAGAGGATGGCAGTCACCAGGTAGACATCAGGCCTTAGATAGACACCAAGGTCCCAGATGTACAGCAGGCCCCAACTGAACCCCAGACTCATGTGGACATCAGGCCACAGGTAGACACCAAGCCTTAGGTAGATACCTAACTTCAGGTAGTCATCAGACCCAAGGTGGACATCCAGTCCCCAGGTGGACAGTCAGGCCCCAGGCACACATCAGGCCTTAAGTGGACACCCAGGCCCCAGGTTGATATCCAGTTCCCAGGCGATCACCAAGCCCCAGGTAGACACCAGGCCGTAGGTGAGCAACAGGATGCAGTAGGTCATCAGGCCACAGCTGGATACCAGTCCCCGGTGATCACAAGGCCCCAGTGGGACATAGATCTAAGGCAGACATCAGGCCCCAGGTGGACATACAGGTCTGAGGTGGAATTCACCCTGAGGGGGACATTCGGCCCCAGGTACGCATCAGGCCTCAGCTGAATAACCAGTCCCCAGGTGGACATTAACCCACAGGTCAACCACAGTCCCCAGGTTGATACCTGGTCCCCAGGTGGCTACTCAATCTGCAGGGTAACATTAGGCCCCTGTAGGATCCCAGGCCCCAAGTGGATTCCTAGGCCCCTGGTGAACATCAGGTGCAGGTGTCCAAGTAGGCCCTGGGTGGACATAACTGTGTACAGGTAAGGAGTTGACCTGTGGGGAGGATGAGCAGTCAGCAGCCCACTGGGGTCCTGAGTAGGTCTTCTGGAAGGAGGAGGCTGAGGGGATGGAACTTTAAAGAAGCAACCTCACTTCCTTGGCAACAGACCCTAACAGAACTTAGAATTCTGGTAACCAGGCCAGGCACGGTGGCTCACACCTGTAATCCCAGCACTTTGGGAGGCTGAGGCAGGAGGATCATGAAATCAGGAGATCGAGACCAGCCTGAACAACATGGTAAAACCACATGTCTACTAAAAATACAAAAAGCAAACAAGGTCAGGAGATCGAGACCATCCTGGCTAACACAGTGAAACCCCGTCTCTACTAAAAATACAAAAATTAGCTGGGCGTAGTGGTGGGCGCCTATAGTCCCAGCTACTCGGGAGGCTGAGGCAGGAGAAAGGCATGAACCCAGGACACGGAGCTTGCAGTGAGCCCAGATCACGCCACTGCACTCCATCCAGCCGGGGTGACAGAGCGAGACTCTGTCTCAAAACAAACAAACAAACAAACAAACAAACAAAAAACAAACACAAAAAAACTAGCCAGGTGTTGTGGTGCTTGTCTCGTGCCTGTAATCCCAGCTACTCAGGAGACTGAGGCAGGAGAATTGATTGAACCCAATAGGCGCAAGTTGCAGTGAGCCAAGATCATGCCACTGCACTCCACCCTGGCCAACAGAATGAGACAATGTCTCAAAAAAAAAAAAAAAAAAAAAAAAGAATCCCGATAACCGGGCACCCACATCCTAGAGTTAGCCCCATAGCCAGCTCACTTGGTGGGAGATGCTCAAGAGAGCAAGATGTTCTTGTGTTGCATCCCCACATCTCAAGGCTCCTGCTTCAGGAATGGCAGGAGTGAGAGCCTTTCTTTTCCAACGATGCCCTTGTTGGCTCATCCCTCACGCCAGATGCCTCTGGCCATTTGACAGAAGGCCCCCCCAGGTACCACAGGACAGGAGTCACCAGGTAGACATCAGGCCCCAGATGGAGCTACCAGGCCAGGCCTCACCAGTGATCCCACCAGGGCCACATCTGCACATTGTCCTTGTCCAGCTGGAGCCTCTGGAGCTCATTGAGACACAGGCACATGGTGAGGTCACCTGCAGTCTGGAAGTCTTTCCAGGGACAATGTTTTCAGGCTGAAATTCCTTTAAATTCAGTGAGGTTGTTTTCATGTTTGGAAATTCCAGTGGAAAGTGAGTGATATTGGTGACCTCTCTCCTTTTTCAGTTCCTGCTTCAGGTGCAGAAACATAGCTATTTCCAGTGCCAGCTGTTGAGCCAGTGCCAGCACCAGGGGCAGAGCCCCTTCCAGGGACAGCACTGGAGCTAGAGGAAGCTCCAGAGCCCTCCTGCCGCTGCCCTGGGACTGCACAGGACCAGCCCAGTGAGAAGCTGCCTGACTTCATGGCACCTCCTGTAGAGCCACCGGCCTCAGCCCTGGAGCTGAAAGTGTGGCTGGAGCTAGAGGTGGCAGAGAGGGGGTGACCAGCACAGCTCCAGCCAGCAGCTCCCACACTGCTCCCAGTCCTGGGCACAGTGGAAGCTATGGAGGCAGAGACCAGGGTGTGCAACCTGGGCTCCTCTGCCTCACTGGAGAGGGACTTCTCTCATTCAGCAGAGCAGCAGCCCTGCTGCTGAAGGCCCTGCTGCTACTGCTGCTGGGGGTGTTTGCCTGCCTGCAGGAGGTGCTGGAGAGCAAGAAAAGGAGCCTGTGAGCAGGGGTTCCAGCAGGTCCTCCTGCTCCCAGAGGTGACCTCCTCCTCCAGGAATGGAGGTTTGCCCTCAGCTGGGCATCTGGGCCATTTGCCTCTAATGTGCTGCCCAGGATGGCCTCTTCTTGACAGGTGGACAGGGGTTGAGGGGGCCAGGGGGCATCTCCAAAGGAAGCTCTTAAACTCAGCAGCAGCACTCCAGAATCTCCATGCCTGCACCTGCCCAAGGATTTATTTATAGCTTAACTAAGAATTTCAAATTTCTACCACAACACTGAAATAAAGTTTGACTTTTTGAAACTTCCATGACTTCTTTCACTCCCTAATATTGTAGATGGTGTTTTTGAGGTGACGTTGAAAACCTCTGATAGTTGTGTGTTTTGTTGTGGTTCTTTGGGTGATTAAATTACCATCTGATCAAGTGATATTGAAAACCCTTCAGGTATGGCTTTTAGAAGACTTTGACCTATTTTTGTTTGTGTTGACTCTCCCTCCAGCTTTGTGGAAAGAGGGATCATGTAGGTTCATTTCTCAGGCAGATCAGTCACCTTTTGCCATCAAAGTTTTAGCATCCATTTTGAAAATTTGGTGTACAAGTTGATATTTTGGTGTTTTTAGCTAATCTGGGGTCAAAACAGAATGCCATAGATGAGGAAGCTTATAAACAAATTTGTTTCTCTCTGTTCTGGAGATGGCAAAATTCAAGGTCAAGTGGTTAGCAGATTCCATGTCTGGTGTGGGCTTGCTTTGTGGTTCATAGCCATGTTTCTACCATGTCCTCACATGACAGAAGAGATGAGGGAGCTCTCTATGGTGCCTTCAATAGGGGCTACTAATCCCACTCCTGTGGTCCCTGCCTTCATGATCTAATCATTCCCCAAGGCCCTACCTCCAAATATCATCACATATGGAATTAGATTTCAACACTTGAATTTGAGGGGGACAATAACATTTGGTCTATAGCATCAGGTTACCCAGAGCCTTATGCATTCGGAGGAAATCCAAAATCTTCTATAAGTATTTGCTGGTCCCCTCTGGGCTTAGGGAAATCTTTAATTGCAGCTCTTGATTCAGCTTGGTCCAAGCCGAAATTCTACGTTTGCCTGAGTAACTTGTTCATGGGACAGAAGCAACTGACCATTTGGAGTTTTAGGAAATTGATGGAAGAGGGCTTGGCATCTGGATGAGAAGTGGAGGGAGAATAGAACAAAGGCACAGGAGAGAGCACAATGAGAAAGGGGAAGAGGGACATCTGGACATAAGGGCCAACTGGAGGACAGGGAAGGTAATTTTCCTTGCATTTTAAACTCAGACCACATATCACGTCAGAATCACCTGAGGGAGACGTTTTCAATGCATATTCCTGGGTTTCTTCTCTTGGAAATTTTTATTAAATCTTGAGTTGTGCTGTTTTATCCATATTTATCATAAGAATTTTGGATAATTCTTACTTTGAGAGGCCCAGGCAGTGGATCACTTGAGGTCAGGAATTCAAAACCAGCCTGGACAACATGGTGAAACCTCATCTCTACTAAAAATATAAAAATTAGCCAGGCATGGTGGTACATGCCTGTAGTCCCAGCTACTTGGGAGGCTGAGGCAGGAGAATCACTTGAATCAGGGAGGCAGAGATGACAGTGAGCTGAGATCACACCACTGCACTCCAGCCTGGGCAACAGTAAAACTCCATCTCAAAAAAAAAAAAAAAAAAAAGAATTGTGGATAATTCTGATGCAATTAGAAAACAAAGCAGAGCTTGACAACCACTCGGTTGGGACATATATCAGGAAGACATTTGATTATGTAAAATAACTGCAAAACAAACTGAAGGGGAATTATTTTAAAATGCTTGAATATAATAATATAATTCAACTCTTCCTATGTATGTAGTTTGACCACATATTTGATGTCTGCTATACTAAGATTGGAAATGTGTAGAAGTTTTTTTTAAAAATCAGGTAGAAGCAGAGAAAAAAGGAGTTGGAGAGAAAAGAAAACTAGCTATTGTCTGGTAACAAGAGAAGAGAAGGGAAACGAAGTAGCATATTTTTGTTCATTGTTTGATGGCATCTAAATTATGATCCCAAATATTTTTTTCCTAAGAAATCCAATAATACAAGTATTCAGAGTGGAGTACCAACACTGATTTACTGGGAAAGAGAAGTGTACTCTGTTTTGCTGCATAATGTTGAGGGAGAGGGAAAGGAAAATTAGTTGGGTAAACAAGTAAGAGACTGGTCCTCAGGGAAGCTGTCTGCCTGAAAAATCACAACTACTGCACCTACAGATAAGCCCTGAACAGATAAGCATGCAGGGTCCAGCACAGATGCCTTCTGTTCTTTGTGTAATTGGCAAACTCCCAGGTAAAATTTTCCTCCCTTTTTCAGGCATATACATGGCGGCCTCTGTGGGAACTTGCACAGGGAGGAGGGGGGCTTACCTAAAACAAACCCACAGTTATACAAACAAGAGAAGCCCACTTTGTGCTTGACTAGAGACATACCCACAGCTGGATATATAAAGGGAATTGTGCAGACAGTTTTATATATAGCTGAGAGGAGTTCCTTATAAAAGCTTTTTGATTCAACTGTAAAAACGGCAATCCACTTGGATGCCCTTGTCTGCTGCAGAGAGCTTCCTCCTTTTGATTATTAAACTTTCACTCCCACCTCACCCTTGTGTCCCCGTCCCTTAATCATCTTGGTGGTGAGATGAAGAACTCCAGGTGATACCTCACAAGAGAGACTGCTACATTGTGGTGCATTGGCAAGACTGCAACTTTAAGAAGTGTGACTTTTATTGTTGCTGAATTATTTTATCTCCTACCCAATTGAAAATAAAGGATATAAAGTGCTTAGGTTGAACACAAAGTCCTCTGCTCTAGGTAACATCTTCAGCAGCCACATTAGCAGAGGCATGGGTGGTAATGGTGGAGTAGATGTCTCTTTGCTTCTGACAGGGTGTCTGCTTATGTGTTAAACAAAATAGTATGGTATATATTTCATTAAGAAATCTGATAAAGAATGAAGTAAAACAGGTTCGTGTTCTTAAGAGGCACAGGATTTGCTACGGCAGCATGACCAAAAGGCTTAAGTAACAAAAATGTGCATAGTAGTTACAAACATTTTCATCTAAACAAAACAATGTGAGCATCTGTATATGACAATAACTCATGCAAAAAATATTTTTTAACTGAGATTGCAATCATTTTATACATAACAAATATTATCACTGTATTCTCAGGTAATATATGGTTTTTATATAGATGTTATAAATAATAACTTATTTAAGTTATTCATCATTTATACAACAAATAATTCTTTGGAATCTACAAAATGCTGGTTTTGTTCTAGGCACTGAATGTAGAAATTGATTTAAAATATGTGTTCTTAGAGTGTGGTAGATTAAAAAATACAAATAGGCCGGGCACAGTGGCTCACACCTGTAATCCCAGCACTTTGGGAGTCCAAGATAGGTGGATCACCTGAGGTCAGGAGCTCGAGACCAGCCTGACTAACATGGTGAAACCCCATCTCTACTAAAAGTACAAAATTAGCCGAGGGTGGTGGCACAAGCCTGTAGTCCCAGCTACTCGGGAGGCAGAGGCAGGACAATCGCTTGAATCCGGGAAGTGGAGGTGGCAGTGAGCCAAGATTGCACCATTGCACTCCAGCCTGGGCAACAAGAGCAAAACTCTGCCTAATATATATACATATATTATGTATAGATACATATATACATATGTGTGTATATATAACATATGTACATATGTGTGTATATATAACATATGTACATATGTGTGTATATATAACATATGTACACGTGTGTATATATAACATATGTACGCGTGTGTATATATAACATATACACGCGTGTGTATATATAACATATACACGCGTGTGTATATATAACATATACACGCGTGTATATATAACATACACGCGTGTATATATAACATATACACACGTGTATATATAACATATACACACGTGTATATATAACATATACACACGTGTATATATAACATATACACACATGTGTACATATATAACATATATACATGTGCACACATATAACACATATACATATATGTACACATATAACATATATACATATGTGTACATATATCATATATACATATGTGATATATATAACATATATACATATGTGATATATATAACATATATACATATGTGATATATATAACATATATACATATGTGTGTATATATACATATATACATAATATATAATATATGCATATGTATAATATACATATATACATAATATATAATATATGCATATGTATAATATACATATATACATAATATATAATATATGCATATGTATAATATACATATATATCAGTCTAATATATATACATATATACATATATATCAGTCTAATATATATACATATATACATATATTAAATATATATACACATATATATTAGAAGTTGTACTGCTGAAAACAAGAGCTACCAATAAAAAAAATTCAGGAAACCTAGTGTGATTATTTTTAATAGAAATGGATATTTTAATACAGGTCTCTTGTTTTTTCTTGTGGAAATAAATGACAAGATGGAATTTCTGGGTGTTTGGTATCTGAATATTTAAGTATAGCAGGTATGGTCAGTTTTTCAAAGGCATTTTACCATCTTACTTGTCCATCGGTAACTCATAAGATATGTGGAACAACATCCTCTCCAACAACCTCTAGTATCAGTCTTTGTAAAGTTTGTCAATTAAATGGGTGTTTTTTTGTTTTTGTTTTTCCTTTTGAGACCATCTCACCCTGTCACCCAGGCTGTAGTGCTGCTGCGTGATCTTAGCTCACTGCAGTCTTTGCCTTCCAGGTTCAAGTGATTCTCCTGCCTTGGCCTCTCAAGTAGCTGGGACTACAGGTGCCCCCCACCACACCCAGCTAATTTTTATATGTTTAGTAAAGACAGGGTTTCACCATATTGGCCAGGCTGTTCTCAATCCTGACCTCAGATGGTCCACCTGTCTCAGCCTCCTAAAGCGCTGGGATTACAGTCATGAGCCACCGCACTTGGCTGGGTTTTCTTTCTCTCTCTCTCTCTCTCTCTCTCTCTCTCTCTCTCTACTTTAAGTTCTGGGATAAATGTGCAGAACATGCAGTTTTGTTACACAGGTATATATGTGTCATGGTGGTTTGCTGCAACGTGGGTGTAGGTTTTGCAGGTAATTATTATATTATTAAAAGATGACAGAATACCTAGCTAAAAAAAATGCGAGGAGACATTGATGGGCACATGTTTACTGAGCACATGCTGACTCCAGAATTAAAAATCCAATTTATGCCTCTGCAGTCCAATAAAATTTTTCCTTAAGAATCCAGGGATCAGACTTTCATCTCAGCAACCACTCCAATATGGTTTCTCACCTACTCATTCCAACGAGCTGCTCATATCAAAATATAAGTGCTATCCATATTGTTAAATTATAAATTGAACCATAACTTCTCAGCCTTCATCTTAATTTATATATCAGCAGCATTTCACACAGTCAATCTCCACCTTCTCTTTGTAAAACTTTTTTATAGAATTCCAGAACACTTAACTTACTTTCCCCCCACCACGTTTTTGATAATTACCCCTAGTCCTTTTTTGCAGGTTTCATCTTTACTATTTTTTAAATGTTAGAGGACCATTAGGCTCAGGACATTCACTTCTTATCTTTCTTATCTTTGCTTTCTTACTAATTTTTGTGTCATTAATTTCCTGATATTTCATATTACACCTAAACACTGGACACTACACCCAACACTCCCTGACTTATCCACGTGGATGTCAGTTAGGAATCTCAAAATTAATATGTCTGTATGGAGCCACTGAAACTCCCCAAAGTTGCTCTTCCCCATTCTGTTTAATGGCAACTCCCATTTTATAGTTTCTCTGCTCAATATTCTTGGTGTCCCCTTTTAATTCTGTCTCTGTAGCTCTGTCACTCTCTTCCTGTACCTGTCTGATTCTCTCCCTCTCTCTCCTCTCTTGCTCACTCTCACTCTTGCTCTCTTTCCCTGCTTCACACACACACAAACACACACAGACAGACACACACACACACACACACACATTTTCAGATCTGATGTGTATGGAATTCCTGCCAGCTTTACCTTTAAAGTGTAATAATTCCAAATGTTGTTTCCAAATTCACATTCCCACCCCCACCACTTGGTAACTATAGCGCTTCCTTCACAAGGCCAAGTGCAGAGATTTCTTGAGGAAATAATGAGAACTATTATACATTCTTATTTCAAGGACCCTTAAAATTATAAGATTGCCATATTTGATACTAATTTAAGCTTCTGTCATTGCCCTTTTTTCAATCCAGTCTCCACACAGCTACCACAGTGTGCAAGTAGAAGTCTCAGCCGTATCACCACACTCCTCCTTTAATGTCCCTACTCCATTGCTTCTTTTCTCCTTCAGAAGAGTTTAAGCTTAATGAAGCTGGGCAACTTTACATATTTTTCCACGAGCTGGAGATCACTTGGTGTAAAGTAAAAATGATCAGTAAATATTTTCAAATAACAGAATCCATGAATAATAGTTTTGTTTCTTTGAGAGTACACTGACTTTTAAAAATCAAGAAAATAGATTGGTCAAGAGAATTCTGCTTGTTTTGATTTTGTTATCCCTCGATTAGATTAACTGTGTTAGTATAAATGTCAGTGTGGAAAGCTATAAGCATTTCCTAAACTTTAAAATGAAAGGCATGGAATTTAAATATCTGCTCCTTTTATTCAAGCAACCAAAAAACACAACTTTTTAAATATATTTTATGTATGTATGAAATCTAAATTTATTTTTCTCTCTTTATCCCTGAATATTTTTTAAAGTTATTCATATCCTCATTATTTTTTAATCCACTTCAGTCACATTTTAAAATATATTTTCGACTTCATTAAGAATATCTTTGTGTTCCACTGAATAGCTTGCCAAATAATAAAATATTAGCAGTATAATTTCCTCATAAACTTTATTTAATTTGCTTGGTTACACATAGATTTCCTACTCTCAACTCATAATTTCATTCAAGTATAATATATTCTACTTGACATTTGCGGGGTTTTCATACCATGCATTTGTCATTGAAATTGGTTTTTGATATTTGAACCACTAGTTTATAATTGTATTGTTGGTTAGACTGGTCTGTAGAATCCTTCTTTGTTTTGATTCTGTGGTTTACTCATTACGGAGTAGCTGTGCCACTGTAAATTTTGAGGTCAAAAGCTTAAAACATTTTATGTATTTTAAAACAAAGTGGATGGCATTTAAATATCTATTCCTTAAAATTTGGAAGAAAGGTTAACACCATATAAACCCAGAGCCTGTTTTTTAGATTAGTAGCATGTAGACATTTTCAATTTCTTCTAAAGTTGAAAAAAATAAACATTTTATATTCATAGAATGCTTGATGAAGGTAAATATTTAATTTTCACTTAAAAGAAATTTGGTTACATTGAAAGGAAATTTGGCTAATATAAGTGAGATACATTTTTAATTAAAACAATAATTTAAGATAAATAATGCTCAAAGAACAGTGGTCGTTGCATTTATTCCAGAGAGAGGACATTTATCCCGATCTGGCTGTAATAACGTAGTAGGTAGAACTGCTGGCGTGGACACCCAAGCAAGGAAGGGAAGCTGGTGTCTCAAGGGGTCCCGCTGAGATGGAAAGGGGTCAGGGCCCAGACTGTTGATGTCGCCTGGACTCAACCACCATGTCTCAGAAGAAGAAATGACCCTCCCCTCCTGGTGCCGCCCCAAACAAGGAGCTTAGCAGTGTTGCACACAGGATAGTCCTTGCAGGAGACCTGTTTGACAAGTTGCTGAGGTGCCTGATGGGGCCAGGCTCTTTTCATGAAATGAGTTTGCATCCTGAGGAAGCCTGTTTATTGGAAACCTGGCAAGGATCCAATTTCCCCTTTGCCTTAACCCCGTAGGAGCACAGTAGACAGGGAGGAGGTCAACCAGGTGGCTGTTCCTGCTTGGTCCCCACTTCCCAGACCCTTCCAGCCAGGGAGAGCGGCTGAGATGACTCCATGGGCTGCTCACATGTGGTCTGGACCCAGCCGCCCTCTTGTGCCTGGCAGGCAGCCCCTGGGCCATCACAAGACCCACTGTGTGGTGATCAGTAGCCCACCACCTGCCCTTGTGGTTGGTGCAGTTCACAGGTGCTGCCCCAGTCCTGGCACACTGGCTTTCCCAGCCTGGCCCAGGATAGGGGATATGAATGATTCTTGCCTGTGCCCCTTCAGACCATGTGAGGTTGGACACTCACTGCAGAAGTCCCTCCAGGTCCCTTTTCAACTGAGTTGTGGGGGACTTGCTTAGTCCTCATGCCCAGGGTCAGGGGAGGGGTGCAGAGTCTGCACCCTAAATCCCCTAGGGCCTAAGGGAGGTCTCCCAGGTGACCTCTGTCCTCTCCAGTGACATGAGTCCTCCCAGATGGCCTCAGCCCTCTCAGGTGACATGCTTCCATGGTGACTCTGGCTCTTGCAGGAGGTGGGCTACTACAGGGACATGAGCTGCCTAACTGCCATCCTCCTCCTGTATCTGCCAGAGGAAGACACCTTCTGGGCACTGAATCAGCTGATGGCCGAGGAGAGGCACTCCCTGCAGTGTAGGTGGACAGCTACCCCCAGGGACTCACACAGCCAGGCCATGGGACAGCCACCCTGCCTGGGCGATCCTGACTTCCAGGCAAGGCATCTTCCTTGCTTTCCAGCTTGTTAGGAGACTTCAGGACATCCCTGCTGAGGGTCCCACAGGGGCCCAGAGCTGAACAGGGACCCTTTCACTTCAAGGCAGACAACTTTCATTTCCAACAGCAGAGGGCGCTGCAGTTCCCCCGGCCACCCTGTGTGTCCCAGAGCCGCAGCCCTCTAGCCCTGAGTTCATGCAGGTGACTCTCACTTCCCCAAGAGTCCTCCTACCTCCCAGCTGGCCACACTCCCAGCTGCCCCTCTAGCCCACAGATGGGCCAATGAAGTCAACATGGCAGTGTCTGCCCATCCCATGTCCCCTAGCCAGACTCCATGTGCAGGAGATGGCCATGTAGTCCTTCAGCACCCACCCGGTTCCCTCCACTGGCCACTGCCTGCCTCAGCCCTGCCTCACAGCCTCAAAGGCAGGCCTGCCCTCCTGGCACCTTTACCCAGGATGCTGCTGTGCAGTGCCTCCAGCTAGGGCCCATCTCCCTAGAGCTGAGACCACATGGTAGGGTCACCTGATGGAAGGGAGGAAGGCCTCAGGGTCCGGGGTCCCCTGCCACTGCCCAGCTCTTCCAGCTGATGGCTCCACATCTTGGGAGTGGGCTCTGATGCATGATGGGTCAGGGGCTTCTCACTTTTCTACAGCCCAAATACTGCCCAGCTCCAGAGGTTCCTATCCCACCAGGAGCAGGTATAACACAAATCTTTCCCAAAGATCATGCGGTACCTGCTGAGTAGATGACACCCTCAACTCTTTCCCAGAGGCCCAGGGTCCCATGGGGCAGGGAAACAAGGGAAGATGGAGCTCCTCGAGGGCCTGACAAGGGGCTGAGTCCCAGCCAGGGCCTCACCCAAGATGAGGATTCTCCACGGGTTTGGAGTTGGGTTTCCTTTTCCTGCCCTGGAGGAGGAGGCAGAGGTACTAGGATAGGGGCTGAGCTCCAGCTGAGCAGGGTTAAGGGAAGTATGTCCACCAGGCATCTGTGCATGGGGGAGTTGTTGGGGAAGCACTGGCCACTGCCCAGTGTTCTGCCCCAGGGTAGCTCAGGGGGCCCTGAGCACCTAGGGTCCAGGAAGTGCCGTGCATTGAGGTTTGTTGAGTTGGCTCCTCTGGTGTTTTGTTGATGGGATAAGGAGGCAAATGGAGACCCCAGGCCAGGGACTCTCCTGTCCCACAAGTGCCCAGCTCCCCCAGGAGGACCTGGCTCACCCCAAGCCAGCAGGAAGCACAGGAAAGTTTCTGCGTGGCACAGAAGCCAGGCCCTCCTCAAGAGGGGGCATCACACTGCAGGGGTCAGGACTCAGGCCTGCTGCTATTTCCACATTATTCATTTTATAAGGTGATATGATTTGGCTGTGTTGCCACCCAAATCTCATCTTGAACTGTAATTTCAATAATCCTCATGTGTCATGGGAGTGGCCCAGTGAGAGGTAACTGAATCATGGCGGCAGTTTCCCACATGCTGTTCTCATGATAGTGAGTTCTCATGTGATCTGATGGTTTTATAAGCATCTGGCATTTTCCTTGCTTGAGGTGATGAATGCCCCATTTACCCTGATGTGATTATCACACATTGTATGCCTGTGTCAAACTATCTCATGTACCCCATAAATATATACACCTACCATGTACTCATATAAATTAAAAATAGAAATAAATTTTTAAAAAAACTGTGAGTTTTAAAGGTGAGGTTTGCCCTCCAGTGCTGGTGCCTGCCAGGTGTGACCTTCACATCGTCTTTCCACATGGTCCAGGCCCTCATCTGCAGAGGCCAACAGTTCCCAGAGTGACCTTCCTCAGAAAACAGGGTCTTGGAGGTGACAGTCAGAGGAGGGGGCCTCATCCTCCCCACTGCCCAGCCCCTTGTGGGGATTGGAAGTGAGGGTCTCTGCCCACAAGTTGGCAGTCACCCTAAGCTGTTTTGTGGGAGGAAGCATAGGGAATATAGGTCAGTGCTGGGACAGCCTTTCCTGATCCTGACTTGGAGAAGGTGTTAAAATCTTGACATTCCCGACTCCTCCTTTGTGAGAGCCCCTGCCCTGCAGGTCTCACAGGGTTGTTGTGAGGGTCACCTGTGGTGATGGGTTTGGAAGTGCTTTGTGAATTACACAGTGGGCTTTCCTATTCCTGTCATTGGCCTTTCGACCTTCAATACTAATTGCCTGGGGATCTCCAGGCCTCAAGGTCTAATCCTGGAAAGGTATGAGGTGTCCCTAGTGGAATATTCTACACCTCCTGGGAGGTCTCTCACTTCAACCTTCACCTGACATAACCCCTGCTCCTGTTACCTCAGCCTGGAGAGCTTGCCCAGGAGCACAGGGTAGTACTGGACTGACCTCTTTGGAAAGGGTGATTACATCCTCATTTCAGCTCTCCCTCTTCCTAGCTTTCCACGTAGAAATCCAGGGCTCCATGCAGCATTTGCTGGACATGAGGGGGAAAAATTTTAGGGCAGGGATCTGCCCTGGGTGGGGACAGAGGAGTATCCTGGAGTCTCAGTGTCAGGAGTGTGAGACCTACCCAGCTGGCCAGCCCCTGTCCCCATGCTGCTCGATGCATGATGTTTCCTGCACAAGCTTCCTTTAGAGGGAAGCTTCCGGAGTGACTGCAGTGAGGTCCATGCTGTTGGGGGTGACAGAGCAGCCCTGGAGGCCCTCTGCTCTTACCCTGGCAGGAGGTGGCCAAAAAGAAGCAGGCAGAGGAAGCTTCTCCAACAAGCTTGGAAAGAAATTTCCGCATATCACTCACGTCACTCTTGCCACTAGAAGGACAATTTCTACAACGGAGTGGAAGAAAATGACTATGCTGTGGGAGAGAATGGATGCATCCAGAAGAGCAAGGTGGGAGGGAAATGAGCCCATTGCCAGAATTTTGTGTCTTTTGAAGACATTTGCCAGAATTCTACTTTTGAAGTCTGCCCCTTTTGACAGTTACTGAGGAAGTTGTGGGACATTTTCAAAGCCTTTTATATAAAAAAAAACACACACAATATACTGCTGTGGGTCTGTGTTCAGGGACTACGAAGAGCACAGCTTCCACTGTTCTGCGTCGCAGATGCTGTGGGAAGTGCCTTAACACACAGAGGTTTGCTTCATGCAACCAGGTGAGGAACCTCTCTAAAACGTTTTACAGTCAAGAAAATTCAGTGTTCAGGAGGTTGAATGCGTTATCCAAGATCACACATATGACAGATTCGGGGTTCAATGAAGAATTATGTATTTTAATTAAGAATTATGTTTTTTAATTAATAATTATATATTTTAATTTCACATTTTAAATTTCTGCACTTTTCTTCCATCACTTTTCACCATGCTTTCTACACTTGG
This sequence comes from Homo sapiens, assembly GCF_000001405.40. Lineage (NCBI taxonomy): Eukaryota > Metazoa > Chordata > Mammalia > Primates > Hominidae > Homo > Homo sapiens. The sequence continues at coordinate 63,732,418 of NC_000009.12, forward strand.
AATTACTTTTTTTGGCTTCTTGAACTTCTTTACTTGTATGTTATTGATTTTCTACAAGTTTTAACATATATGATTAAAGAGTATTTCTTAATGTTTTAATAATTATCCTAGAATAAAATATATTTACTTTGATGTATGCATTGGATATTACAGTGTATTGTGTACATTTTCAAACACTTTGTGTTATACCAGAAGCATTATTCAACAGTGGTCATTTTTTTACCTGAACTATGTTCAGAAAATCTTTCCACCACAGTACAAAAAGATCAACTTCATTTTGTTAACAGATGGATATGCCATAGTGCAATTAACTGTTTAATTATCCTGTTATCCTGTTGTGGATATTTAAGTTCAAACAATGCAGTAATAAATATGCAAGAGTGGTTTTAGACATTAAACAATGTGGCTCTAAATTAGGGACCTAGTGCCTGTAATCCCAGCACTTTGGGAGGTCGAGGTGGGTGGATCACCTGAGGTCGGAAGTTTTGAGACCAGCCTGGCCAACATGGCAAAACCCCGTTTCTACAAAAAATACAAAAATTAGCTGGGTATGGTGATGTGCACGTGTAGCCCCAGCTACTCAGGAGGCTGAGGTAGGACAATTGCCTGAACCCACGAGGCAGAGGTTGCAGTGAGCTGAGATCCTGTCACTGCACTCCAGTCTGGGGGACAGAGTGAGACTCTGTCCCAATAATAAATAAATAAATAAATAATCTAGAAGTACAATTGCTTAGCCAAATTTCTTATGCATTTTGAATGATAAGAGTTGCTGCCTAATTTCTGTTACAAAGGCTATGGTAATTTACACTCAAAACACAGGATAGGTTGGTTGTTGTCACATATGGAGTCTTACTGTTGCCGAGACTGGAGTGCAGTGGTGTAATCCTAGCTCGTTGTAGCCTCCAACGCCTAGGCTCAAGCAATCCTCCCACCTCAGCCTCTCTTCCAAGTAACTAGGATTACAGGTGCATGCCACCACACCCAGCTAATTTTATTCTTAGATATGGGATCTTGCTATGTTGCCCAGGCTGGTCTTGAAATCCTGGCCTGAAGGTGACCTCAGCCTCCAGTGTAGCTGACATTACAGGCAGGAGACACTGTACCTGGCTGAATGAGTGCCTCTATCCTGACACTTGTGTCCCCATGGGATCCTGCAGAATTCAGGACCCTGTTCACACAGGGGAAAACTCTCTGTTGGGGTCCTGATGACTGAGGAGGGAGCTTACCCATGGCTCTCCTGGTCATTTTTATTTAATAGTGAGCACAGAACCTCACATTTTCTGGAATGTTCCCATATGATTTTGTGAGAGAAAAGAGAATAGAGACCCCAACCCCAAGCTCACTGTGTCAAAGGGAAAATTAAGCTTGGGAACTGAGTTATGCAATACTGCCTTCCTTGTTCTCAAACACATAGCTATAACTTCACAACCCTGTGTCATAGCCTCATCCATAAGCCAGGTTCCCACAGTGACAGAAGGCCGCATGTCTCCTCAGATGTCCTCCCTCACAATTTGCTGTGAACCCCTAAATCTTTCAGAATGCACATCCCACCTGTAAACTATCCCTAAAAGTGAGTCGGCTCAATTTCACCCTGACAATCTCAATTACCAGCTTATTTTCATAGTTCTGGGACAAGGTCAGGACCAGAAATCATCCCTCTGCCTATCCTGAGATGAATGAATCATTGAGTTTTCCTCTACTCCACTCCCTCTATTCACATGCTTACTTTATCTTATGTAAAATGGAGATTTACTGAATGTGAGAGGAACGCATAACTGTTTCCTCTGCTCCCTCCTTTCCTATGTAAAATGTAGATATCCTGATGCTAATCAGAGCCACACAAGAATGCAAGCATTTGCTTCACTGCCTACCTTCAGTCTCACGGGAGTTCTCTGGAGTTCTTGTATCAGCATGTGGACCTCTTTAGCAAGATTGAGGACAGTTTCCTGAATTATATCCTCAAAAACGTTTTCCAAGTTGCTCACTTTCTATTCTTCTCTGTTAGAAATGCCAGTAAGTCAGCCGGGCACAGTGGCTCATGCCAGTAATCCCAGCACTTTGGGAGGCCAAGGTGGGAGGATCACCCGAGGCCAGAAGTTTGAGACCTAACTGGCCTGCATGGTGAAACCCCATCTTTACTAAAAATACAAAAATTAGCGAGGCATGCTGGCACACACCTGTAATCTCAGATACTTGGGAGGCTGAGGCACAAGAATTGCTTGAACCCAGGAGGTGGAGGTTTCAGTGAGCCAAGATCATGCCACTGCACTACAGACTGGGTAACAGAGTGAGATTCTGTCTCAAAAAAGAATGCCAATAAGTCATAGATTTTGTTCCTTTACATAATCCTACATTTCTCAAAAGTTTGGTTCATTATTTTTAAATTCTTTTTTTATTTTTGTCTGACTGGGTTGATTCAAAGTTCTGCTCTTTGAGCTCTTATTATTTCTTCTATTTGGTCTAGTCTGTTGCTAAGGCTGCGAACTGTTTTTTGAAATTCCTGTAGTAAATTTTTCAATGCAAGAAGCTCTGCTTGGTTCTTTCTCAATATGGCTATGTTGTCATTCAAATCCAGGATCATTGTTATGGGGTTGCTGTTGGATTTCAACTTTCTGTTGGATTTTGGTGATTTTTTTGGCCACTTATGTCTTGAATACTATACCTGTCATTTCAGACGTTCCATTCTGGTTAGGACTCATTGCTAGATTGCTGGTGTAATCCTTTGGAGGAGATGGAACATTCTGGCTTTTTGTATTGCCAGAGTTCTTGTGATGGTTTCTTCTCATCTGAGAGACTTGATGCTTCCTTTGTTGAATTTGCTATCATTTGGAAGGAGTTTTTTTTTTTTAATTTTTCATTCTTTCTTTCTCTTAAGGGTATGACTGTGGTCTATGTTGTATAGGATCATTTTGCTTCATTTCTGGGTACTTTCAGAGGACCAAGGCTCTGTACAAGCTCCTTGGTTGCAGATAGGCTCCTGTGGTGGCTTGGTGTGGTGATGTATTTTTGTTTGGTGGTGTAATTCAGGCTTCAGTCCAGTAGACAGTGCTTAAGAGTAACAGCTGGCTGCAGGGTCTTCTCCTCTGTGTACTTGTCCTCGACAGGTGCAGAAGTGACAAAATGCCAAAAGTGCCCTGTCCCAGTGTGTACTAGTCTTCAGCAGGGGCAGAGCTGCTGGAGAAACCTAAGAAGCAGCCTCATTCAGCCCACGTTCCTTGGGCCCCAACAGGATGACCACTGCTGGATCTGCAGCAGTGCACTAGGAAGGGGACAGAGGACAAGAGATGACCACCTCTCTGAATCTGTTCCCAGGCTTTGGTGTGCCCCTTTCAGCAGCTGATATAGTGATCGTGTTTCCTTTGACCCAAGGGGTGGCTTTGGCAAGCTGTATTCCTCCTTCCCTTAGGGCTGGTCCTCACCAAAGTTTAGGTCTCCTGGGGGATGGGGTTCACCTCCCTCTTGTTTCTTGGAGCTGATGGAGTACTCTCTCAACTGACCAAGGGAGCAGGCTGAGACACCCAGCAATGACACACACAGACCAGTTCCAGGTTGCAAAGCTGTTCTTGGCTGCAAGTCTCACCATCCTTGAGAAACCTCTGCTTTAGCAACTCTCTTCCCACTACAGTCCTGCAAGAGGAGAGAGCCTAATTCCAACACTTACTGCTGGGGCACTTTCCACACTCAACACTCAATTCTGGCTGTTGAGGCTGCTCCCCTGCTCCAGAGAAAGCACTCCAATTCCTAGCCCAAGATTAAAGTGTCTGCAGTGGCCACCATTGCCAGGCACCAAAAAATGATTGACTTTGTATGAGCCCAGATTAAAAAGGGCATCCTTCTCTCAGTCCCAGGTCTGGGGAAATGCCTGCAGCTTTTCTGAGTGTCTTTCCTCTTTCCCCATCTCTCAGCCACTTTTGTGCTAGCTCCAAGGCTTGGGAGACACAGAGTGCTCTCCCTTAATCTGGATTGCACAGATCCCCAGTGAAAAGGTGAGTTGCAGAGGGAGACTGGCTGCTCTTGTCTCGTACTGGAGTTTCACTCCCTTTTATGAACCAAATGCTATCACAGAGTCTGCTTTCCCACCTCCCCCTCCACAGGGTCTGGAGTGTTCTTCTCTATTCCTGTGAATTCCTATTTTTCTTCTTGAATTGAAGCTCACAAAGTTTATCTTTATGCTTATTTTTCTACTTCCAAGTGGCTGAGGCACACTGAAAGCCCCTAATCCATCACTCTAGGAAAAAAGGATGGTTTAAATAAAGGAATGTTCATATAAAATATATATTAATTAGTGCAAACATATTTTATTTGACATGAGTTAGGTGAATCTTTGATACATTAATTAATTTTAAAATTGTTAAATAAAATTAGAAATATCTTAGAATTTGCCAAGGTATGTTTCTCTCCTGGGATTACTGGTCAGTTTTATTTTTTCCTTGGATAGACATTTTAAGCCATAAATCTTGACATAGACCTGATGTAGACCTCCATACCTTTCCCAGATGTGGGACGGAGCAACTGGGACAGGTCCATCCTAGCACTAAGGGATGATTAAACCTAACTTGTGGTTGTTGTACAACTATAAACATGGTTGATGCTTTAAGAGAAAGATCTTGATGGAAAGGGGTAAATGTAAAAATTGATCATATGAATTGGGTCATTCTTATCACACCAAATAAAACCATCAACAAGCCAGGGGGAGGAGGCATTCAGGGCAAAAACACCACTCCAAAAGCGTAATTCTCTGCATGCCTGGCTGCTGAAATTACCTGCTTTAAGCTGAAACCAGTTTTATCAAATGGTTACTGAAACAACCTCTTGAACACTAAGACTAGCTTTACCCACCACTGTCCCTCACCTATCAGAGCCTGCCAGCTCTCAAAAACCTTACTGGTGCCAGTGAACTTTCTCAAAGAGAAATACATACCGTTTTTCTCTCTGTCTCCCTTTTTTATAAAACCTCTAACTTTCTCTTTATGTTTTGGACATACTAAAGACACCCATTCTGCATGTATGTGTGAAACTGTAATACTTGTATCTCAAATAAAACATTTTAATTTCAGATGTTTGTCTCTATATTTATTTGACTTTGACAATCTGATATTATTTAGCATTATTTCCAGTCTCCCAAATAATGTCAAAATTTTGTTATGTTAGATAGGAATATCTTGTTATTCAACTTGAAGGTAAACTGCTTGATCAATGCATGTAATTCCTTGACAGATTGTCAGCACCTCTAAGACAACATGTAGATATTGCTCATTATTAACTCATTTCATCTTTTCATGATAAATTACAAAAATTTAATTTTCATTTTTAAAATGCAAACCATTATGCCTTGTATTATGGCATTCTTGCATTACTATAAAGGAATACCTAAGCACTACATAATTTATACTGAAAAAAAAGATTGACTTGGCTCACAGTTCTGCAGGCTGTACAGGAAGCTTTGCATTGGCAGTTGCTTGGCTTCAAGAAGGGTCCTCAGGGAGCTTTTACACATGGCAGAAGATGAAGCAAAAGAAGGTATGTCACATGGCCAGAGCAGGAGCAAGCAGGGAGAGGTGCCACACACTTTTAAACAGCCAGATGTAATGAGAACTCACTCACTCTTGCAAGGACAGTGCCAAGAGGATGTTGCTAAACATGAGAAATCAGCCCTCATGACCCCATCACCTCCCACCAGACCCCGACTCCAACACTGGGAATTACAATTCGACATGAGACTTAAAGGGGACAACATCCAAACTATTTCATTCCATCCCTGACCCTTCAAATCTCATGTTCTTCTCACATTGCAAAATACAATCATCCCTTCTCAATAGTCCCCCAAAAGTCTCAACCTGTTTCGGCATCACTCAAAAGGGCAGTTTCTTCTGAGACAAGGCAAGTCCCTTCCACTGATGCGCCTGTAAAATCAAAACAAGTTATTTACTTCTAAGATAAAACTGGGGTACAGACATTGGGTAAACATTCCCATTACAAAAGAGAGAAATTGGCCAAAAGAAAGGGGCTACAGGCCCCACACGAGTTCAAATCCCAGCAGGGCAGTCAGTAAAACTCAATGTTCCAAAATAATCTCCTTTGAAACCATGTCCCACATCCTGGGAACATAGAGCATTCCCATGATGCATAGGGTGGGCTCCCAAGGCTTTGGGCTGCTCTGCCCCCACAGCTCTTCTACTCTGAAGGCATGAGCTGCTGGTGGCTCTATCATTCTGGGATCTGGAGGGCAGCAGCCCCCCTCCCACAGCTCCACTAGGCAGCCCCCCTAGTCAGGACCCCGAGTGGGGCCTCCAACCCCACATTTCCACTTGGCACTGTCCTAGAAGAGGTCCTCTTTGAGAGCTCCAGTCGTGCATAGTCTTCTCCCTGGGCATCCAGCCTTTCTCATACATCCTCTGAAATTTAGGCAGGGAATGCCAAGCCTCCTTCACTCTTGCACTTTGCTCACCTGCAGGCTTAACACCACATGGCACCAAGGCTTATAGTTTGCACCCTCTGAAGCCATGACCTGAGCTCTATCTGCAGCCCTTTGAACCAAGGCTGGAGCTAGAAGGGCCAGGATGCAAGGAACACCCTCCTGGGGGTGGTACAGGACAGTGATGCCCTGGCCCTGGTCCAAGTGGAACAGGAATTAAAAGAAATTAAAGAATGTGTAAGCAGAAACTCAGTTGTATGTGAGAAAACCCAATTCCCCCTGAGAAAGAGAAAGAGCTGGAGCCCTTTAAAAATTAACTGCCTGTTTTTCTGTGGCTAGTGAGCTTCATCTCTCCTCCTTTCCCAGGCATTGTGAAGATGCTGTTTCCCTAGCTGTGCAGCTGCAAGGTCACTAGACAGATAAACTCAAGTCGTAAAACATGTTTTTCCTTGAAAAATAAGAAATGATATAATGCATGTCTCAATTAATTGAATAACTGTCTTTGTTTCTCACTTCTGTAATATGCTTCCCCCTGCACAGATCTCCCCACTCTCCACCACCCCACAAAATGCTTAAAAGTTAACTTAAGTCTTTGTTCAGGACTCAGTCCTTTGGATGTTAATCTGACTGGGCCGGTGCACCTAAATAATAAATATCCTCCTCAACCCCATCAGTCTCTCTGATTCCTTAAAAAATCCCGCTACAGCCTGGGCATGGTGGCTCACGCCTGTAATCCCAGCACTTTGGGAGGCTGAGGTGGGCAGATCACGAGGTCAGGAGATTGAGACCATCATGGCTAAGACAGTGAAAACCCGTCTCTACTAAAAATACAAAAAATTAGCCAGGCATGGCGGCACTCACCTGCAGTCCCAACTACTTGGGAGGCTGAGACAGGAGAATGGCATGTCCTGGGAGGCAGAGCTTGCAGTGAGCTGAGATTGTGCCACTGCACTCCAGCCTGGGTGACAGAGTGAGACTCCATCTCAAAATAAATAAATAAATAAATTAATTAATTAATTAATTTTTAAAATCCCACTACACAAGAAACCATTCTTTCATCCTAGACCTCTAGGTCTGTGCTGGGATGAGCTGCTGCAAAGATTTCTGAAATGCCTTCAAGGCCTTTTTTTAATTGTCTTGGCTATAAGCACCTAGCTCTTTTTCAGTTATGCAAATGTCTCTAATAAGTGGTTGCTCCACAGCCTGTTTAGATTCTTCCCCTGAAAATGCTTTATCTTCCTTTGCCAAATGGGCAGGCTGCAAATTTTCTATACTTGTATGGTCTGCTTCCCATTTAATTGTAAATTCCAACTTTAAGTCATTTTTTTGCTCCTGCGTCTGAGTGTTCAAACTTCCTCAGATCCCTAGTACATGAACAGACTGCAGCCAAGTTCTTTGCAAAGGCATAACAGGCATGACCTTTATTCCAAGTCCCAGTAAGTTCCTCATTTTCATCTGAGACCGCATCAGCCTATCCTTCACTGTCCATATCACTATCAGCATTTTGGTCACAACCATTTAACTAGTCTTTAAGAAATTCAGAACTTTCCTTCATCTTCCTGTATTAGGAGCCCTCCAAACTCTTCCAACTCCTGCTCATTACCTAGTTCCAAAGTCACTTCCATATTTTCAAGTATCTTTATAGCAATGCCCCATGTCTCAGTACCAATTTTCTGTATTAGGCCATTCTTACATTGCTATAAAGAAATACCTGAGACTGGGTAATGTATAAGGAAAAGAGGTTTGAAAAGAGGCTTGTATAGCTGCAGGCTGTACAAACATGATTCTGGCATCTGCCTAGCTCCTGGTGAGGCCTCAGGAGGCTTTATTCATGGCAGAAGATGAAGAAGGAGTAGGCAGGCACATCACCTGGCAAGGCAGGGGAAGCACCACACCCTTTAAACAAATAGATCTTGCAAGAATTCACTCACTATCACAAGGACAGCACCAGGGACAGGATGCTAGACCATTTCCGAGAAATTCACCCCCATGATCCAATCACCTCCCTCCAGACCTACCACCAACATTGGGGATATCACAATTCAACATGAGATTTAGAGGGAACAACATCTGAGGTATCTCATGCCTCATGTTGTGACTTGGTATAATGTCCATAAGATTACACTGACTTTACAAATCATATTGCAGTTTTTGCTAGCTCTTCTGTAGTAAGAAAATGGAATTCATCAGCAATGCCTTCTAAGTCTGGTTCTGTTTTCCCATGCAGACTTTTCTCTGAGCTCTGCTTGTCAGTCTTGCTAGAATCTCACCCTAGGCAGCAACCTCCAGTCTGAGATTGCCCTTGACAGTGGCTGAGGTTTGCATTGTTGGAATGGATTAGAAAAAACAAAGGGAAGACAGACCAAAACAGATTTAAATACAGATCCCATTTGTTGAAGTTTTAAGTAATTTTAAATGTTTATTTGCACCAGCTGCCCACTCCCATTGTGCTCTCCTCACCCAAAAAAGTGACTTGATATTCTAGTAAAAAGCCAAACTGTGCTTTAGAGAAACCCACTTGTTACTTCTTTAAATCCATATAATTTTGCCAAAGTGAATTTTTCTTAATATGCTCTGGCAGAATCAGTAAACTAATTATTTACACCAGAGTCACTTAACCTTTCCTCTTGGTCATTTGCATGTAAATTATTTTTAAATGTATAAAATTTGCTTACTCAAGAAAGCTCTTGCTATATATATATATATATATTTTTTTTTGTGGTGTCTTAACATACTCTAGTCTTGTCTTGAATTCCTTAAGACTTTGAGGTAAAGAACTCTTTTGTAACAAGTTTCCAAATCAAAGTGGGAAAGAGGAAGATTAGGTTAAGCATTAGGTCATCAGGTATGTAGGACAGCTAATTCCATTATCAGAATGGTAGTGATAGCCAGTTTGCATTTTGCATATTAGTTGTAACAAAAATATTCAGCATATTAGTGACAAAACCAAAGTTATTGTGAATCAGTTTATAATTTTTTTTTTGAGATAGGGTCTTACTCTGTCACCCAAGCTCAAGTGCAGAGGCGTGATCTTGGCTCACTGCAGCCTCAACCACCTGGGCTCAAGAGATCCTCTCAGCCCAGCCTCCTTAGTACAGGTGAGTGCCACCACACCCAGCTATTTTTTCTCTAGTTTTTGTAGAGATTGGGTCTCACTTTGTTGCCAAGGCTGTTCTCAAACTCCTGGGCTCAAGCAATCCTTCTGCCTTAACATCCCAAATGGTGCTGGGATTACAGGTTTGAGCCACTGCACCTGGCCAGTTTATAATGTTAATGGCTTTTGGAGCAGGAACCAGTGGGTGCTGCTTCTTGTCTGCAAGATGAGGAGTCTCCTCTCCCCAGAAGTGAGGCATCTTCTACCACAAGGGAGGCTTTGCCCAAACAGTCACCGAAAGGCTGAGATTGGGGAGAGAACAAAACAGGAGTGAATATGTTCCTGGAACCTAACTGCTCCCCAATTCAATTCTACTGCAGACATTCAGAATGAAGGGGACGTTCAGCTGAAGAACAGGAGTGCACTGGCTGTTAAAATCTCAGATTGTAAAAACAATTTTGCTTCATTTTCCCTAAATAATTTTTAAACAATTGTTCTTAGGTGATTTTCTAAACTTCGGGTAATATCTGTGACTTAGTAAATGTTCTTTAAAAGATGGGATAATATTTTTATTTTGTTTAATTATATGTGTTTTTAAACTAATTTTATAGGAAAAATAATTTCTTTCCTTCCCTGTTATACCAAATACAGCCTTTAGCTCAAGACACAAGTAATTCCAGGAAAACTGGAATGTAAGTTCAATATGTTGCACTAAGTACATTTGAAAGTGCATGCATTTTTATTTTAATTCATCATTCTCAGTCAACTATCGCAAGGACAAAAAACCAAACACCGCATGTTCTCACTCATAGGTAGGAATTGAACAATGAGAACACACGGACACAGGAAGGGGAACATCACACTCTGGGGACTGTTGTGGGGTGGGGAGAGCGGGGAGGGATAGCATTAGGAGATATGCCTAAGGCTAAATGTTGAGTTAATGGGTGCAGCACACCAGCATGGCACAAGTATACATATGTAATGCATACATATGTTAATGCACCAATTCTGCATCAAGTCAGTGCAATCAGAGACACTGCAAGAATGACTTTTGGTTTTCTTTTCCTAGTTTTTGAAAGTATATTATACATATATATGCATGTATGTATATGAATATATATAAAACTGAAAACTGCACACATCCCATATACACCATATACGTGAAAGTGAACACACACACACATAAACATATATATTCAGTTTCAAACAATTGTTAGGGAACCTGAGGAAGAAACTAAATGGAATATAATGGTTGCATCTATGATAGCCATGGTACTAGAACTAGTAGTATTTCTACTAAGGTGAGAATTGACATAGTAAAAGAAATAAGATACAAAGCAGTAAGAGAGAGCTACATTTTCCTTAAAGCCAGGCTGAATATTCACTAACAAGGAAATTTCTACAGTCATTATTTTAATCTGATTCATTCTCTTGGTGGGATATTCCAGAGTTACCACCTACAGAAATTCCACTTTTCCTTACCGAGGTTCTCTTTTTTTCTTTTCAGTCCAAATATTAGTCATTTTGGTAGAGAAGGCAGAAACAATTAACAATTGAGTAATTCCTCAAGAATCATGTTAAAAAGTTTCCAAATCATGAATGTATAGTTATATTTTGTTCACTAGATTTTAACCCACATACCTCACTTGTATAGAAATTATGCTTATTTGGATATTCAGTATATTTCTTCATACAAAGACAATCTATAAAATGTACACACACACAGATGCTATGGATACATGCACACATGTGCACACACAAATATGTATACATGGTTTACCATTATTTTCTAGATCATTCAGAGGTCAGTATTAATTAAAACATCATAGATCTGTGGCAAATTTTGGGCCACTTCTCCTAAAACAGGAATTTAAAAAGCCTTCAATTGTCATAACAATGGGAAGAAGTCTGAAAGCTGGAGTAAGGGAAGTTGGTGCTCAGAAATATTAACTACCATTTATATAGGATATCCTTATGAGATAATCTTAAAGCCAAATGAGGCTAAAATATTAATATGAGTTATTTAGCCAAGTTTTCCAGCAGGAAGAAGGAAATAAGCAGTGAACTAAAAAGCATACAAGATACAGAGGAGCAGGTTAATTGAAGCCATTGCAGCAGAAATTGAGAAGAATAAACAGGAGTTAGAAGATGAGAGCAAGCAACTGCAAGTGGAGTGGGCTGAGCTGGAATTATGGTGTAGAAAATGACTGGTTGAGAAAAACCCAAACAAATATTTCTATAATGTCATGTGCATAAGATACCTGTAGATGTTATCAAGGTATATACATAAACTACCTGTCATTAGAGCTAATTTCTTAGCAAATTATTCATAAAAGTTTATAACTTTGTGAGGCATTACAGACACCAAAAGTAATGATTTGGCATTTCCGTGGCCCTATTTGTCTAAAGAACTATCTTTTACACTTTACTGTTTTTTAATAGGCAATACAGTGCTCAAAAAGTATTTTATACCAAGTCCAGTAGGTTGATAACATTGAGTATAACTGAGCATTGCTTTGTGTCTACCCTCAGGCAAATCTGGAGATTTTCTCAAGCCTCTTTATGAAAATGGAGAGACCTCACAAGAGATGCTAATGGACAGCTGACCCTGCTCCCTGCTCCATCACAGGTTGTAGAGTATTAATTCTCAAGTTACCCAGACATTTAGTTCTGAATGTGCAAAAATGGTTTAGGTTCAAATGTTTTCAACTACTGACAAGCTCAAGAATTCAGAGGAGGTAGTACTAAGGGAAATGTAATTAATATATAATATCAAAACTTAAGCATAGCACCATAACACCTAATTTTTGATGATGTCAAATACTTAAAGTTCTCCCTTTTTATTTTCTGGTGAAAGGTGCGTAGTATACAAACCTCTACTAACTTCTTGGGCTTCTGAATAAAGGAAAGGACTACCTAATGACAGTAATAGCTTGACTGCTGAAGAATTATGTCAGTTAATAAAAATTGCTTCATAGGAAAAAGATGAATTGTCTCTTCAAAGTTTTTTTAAGCATGGGTGACCAAAGCCATCCCATACTTAGAAGAAAATATTGCATTGTTTTATACAAGATATGCTGTACACGTTACAGAAGATTCATGTTTAATAATGCATCTTGTAAAAATCTTAGTGAGCTATAACCTTACAACATGACTTAACCCAAATACATTGAAAACCCCTTGGATTTAGACCTACAAGGAGGTGGTTTTGCTTTCTGTACCATAGCATGCATAGTTGAAGCAAACATATTCCTTCAAACATAATACTCTTACATAATAGAAAGTGTTCTCTGTTTTCTGGATGAAAAGGCATGAGGTCTTTTATATTAGCAAACTGAAATTGTTAACTATAAAAAGTCAAAAATCAAAGGTGCTCTCATGTATTTATAAGGACCTTGAATGGCTCAGATTCATCAGGAAAAAAAAACATTCCTCAGAGAGTCTGATCTCAAGCTGATGTTTCTTTATTGTATTTGATTCTAAACCATCATTTTTGTTGAATCCTCTGTGCTTTCAGAATGCTGAAATGTAAAATATTTTTAACTTATGAAAGAGATAATTTATTTTTATTTTCTCCTATACGTTTTTAAGTAGCACCTTAAAAAATAGACAAATCCATCCAGGGTCAAAAGAACTCAACTCAATTCTCTATCACTGTGAAAATAGACTTAGTTCTTCATTACAAAAGTGCTACAATAACTACAAAAATTATACCTCCTGGAGTATATATTTACATATCCATGCAAAAAGGGAATAGATTAAAAGATGTTTATGAATGTCTAAAATCTTAAGTCAGTTTAAAGTAGTATTATAAATCAGGTTTGTGGGTGATATTTTGTCTGCTTCTAGACTTGTGAGCAAGTTATTAAGTTTTAGGTTACTTATATTTAAAATTCAAAAAGGAAATGATTGTGATTGCATTCAAAGAAAGAGAGGACATTTTGAAGCTTCTTTTTTTTACTAATATCAAAACATAATATCACATTTGTAAAACGCGTTGATGGCTTACAACCAAGTAAAATACCTCAATACCCCACTTTTGAAGATCAGTAATATTGGCCTAAGAGTATCACTCTATAGGAATTATAAAAAGTTGTATTTATGCCCTGAGATTATACCCTATAATGTGCAAACATTATAGGATAGACAAGTGGATATAAGGTTTCTTTCTAGGTTTCCTTATATACTCCAAATGGTAAAACTAGATGGAAGATTAAAATTCTAAATGTTGTTAATTTTAGAACCTTCAATGTCAGAGTTACTTTGTATGAATGAGTTTACCTAATTTTCCACACTATGCATATCTAATAGATATTACTATTGCACAGGTGAGAAAACTGCATCTCTGATTATTATTATTCACTCTAGTCACAGAGATAAGAAAGGGCAAAATATCATAAGAGAAGCCCAAATAGGTCTTATTTTAATGGAATATTTTTCCACTGGACTTCAACTGGTTTATCTTATTTATCCGTCCATCTAAGATCAGTTGAAAAAAGAGACTTGCAGATGCAATATTTTAGCTAATATATCCAATCTCCTATTTGAAATCTCCTGCGTGTCTAACAGAAAACTCAAATTTAGTATGTCTGAAATCAAGCTGACTGCTGCACATGTTCACACTGAAACAAAGCAAAACAAAATTCCTTCAACAGCTTTCTTATCTCAATAAATGGTACTACACTGTGCCTGTATGACTCATGCCCAAAACCTAGAGGTCGACCTAGGTTCTTTTTTTCCCCATGACTCTCCATTTCCAAGATTTCCATTTCTTCCGTGAACACTTCTCAAAGCCACACCCATCTCTCTGTCAGAATACCACAATGCATTGCAAATCTGCCTCCCCACTTGTCATCTCCTCCCTAAATGCTCTATTTTCACGGTAGTCAGAGTGGCTTTTTTTTTTTAAAGCACACAAGATCTTGACTCTTCATTCCCTACTTTCTGCTTTAACTCCTTGATTGGCTTTCCTCTGCTAATATAAATAAAAATTTCCAACTTCTTTTTAATGACCACAGATCCTGGCTTGATGTTTTCTACCTACCTCTCCAAACACATGTCATACACTTCCCTTCTTTTCTTATCACACCCAAAACATTCTTAATTATTTCCACAGTCTTTGTATATGTCAACCCTTTTTCTGCCTCTAGAATTTTGTGCTTGTTTCTCTTTCTTTCTAAAATAAGCTTTCGATGGCTTTTTGTAAAATTAGATCATTGTTCTTTGAAATCTTGGCTAAGAAGTTTTCTGAAATACCTTAATTAAAGTTCCTTCCTTGGTTACTAGCAGTCTCCTCACTTTGTTTATTTTTATTGTAATCTTTAATGATTGTTTTCTGTTTGATTTCTTGATCAACTCAAATTTGTATCCTCAGCTCTTATCAAAATACTAGGTAACTACACACCTATTAAAACAACTAAACATAAAAATAGTGACAACAAAAGCTGGCAATGATGAAGAAACTGTATCATTCATACATTATTTGAATTGTAAAATGTTATAATACTCTGGAAATAATTTATTAGTTTCTTTAAAAACTAAACATATATTTATAATAAGATCCAGCAACTGCACCCCTGGAAATTTATCTAAGAGAAATGAAAACCTATATGCGATCTTTAATATCTTTCATAGCACCTTTAATTCTAACAGAGAAAAACTGGAAACATCCAAGATGTTGGACAGGTGAATGGTTGAATAAACTGTGGTATATCCATATGATTAAATACTACCCAGAAATAAAAAAGAATATACTTTTGACACATGCAATAACTTGCATAGATCTGAAGGGCATTATGCTTAGTGAAAAAAAGCAAATATCAAAAGGACACATGGCATATTATTTCATGTATATAACTTTAATAAAATAACATACATATAGAAAACAGATTAGTGATTTCCAGAGGTTAGTGATGGTATGGGAATGTGAGATGAATATGGCTATAAAATGTGAGGAAGACACTTTTAGTGATGGAAGAGTTCTGTAACTTAATTGTAATAATGGTCACATTAATCAACATGTGATAAAGTTGGCATAGACCTATGCATTCACATTGTATAAATGTCAATGCCTGGTCTTGATATTGTACTAAATTATACAAGATGTAACTCTTGAAATAAACTGTGTAGAATAGTACACGAGACCTCTCTGTATTTGAAACTCCCTATGGATCTATGATCTTTTCAAAATAAAAAGCTAAAAAATGTGAAGTGTTCAATAAATAAAATAGTAACTGTATTTTATCCAATTCTTACCATATAAAAATGCTTCACATACATTAACTCATACAATTCAATCTATAGCAGGATCATATTGATGCCATTATTAGTCCTAATTTATAGCCTAGTAGCTTGTTCAAGGTCACATAGCTAATAGGAGGAAGGGTTATGATTTTAATCCAAGCAGCCAGCTCCAGAGAATGTGCTACCAACTGACACATCACAGTGTTTCTCAAAAATAATTCTGGATGGAAGGAAAGAAAGGAGTTAAGGAAGGAGAGAGAGAAGGAAGGAAGGAAGGAAGGGAGGGAGGAAGGAAAGAAGGAAGGCTGGAAGGGAGGGAGGGAGGGAGGAAACAGGGAAAGAAGGAGGGAAGGAAGGAAGGAAGTTACAATAAAGGAAGGAAGGAAGGAAGGAAGGAAGGAAGGAAGGAAGGAAAATACAATAGCCGGTATATTTTCTCAAAGAGAAGACATCATAAAACCCTTTTAACAAACACAGCCTGACTTCTCAAATTCCCTCTCCATTCAACTTCCTTGACTGTAGAGTCCTATTCGGGTCAAGGGAAGGAGAAATCAAACTAAAGATCATAACGCTGCATGTATGTGGCATTGTATTGCCAGAGTTCTCTGAGTAAACCTTTCTAGAGATGCACATTTTGCACTCTATTGGAAAAGTTATCTTAGTTATAATGTTTCTGAAGATGCATTTGCCATATTGAAAGCAAGCAGTCACATACAATTTGATAGACACCAGCACAAATGACAAGAAAAAGTTGGTAAAGTTGAAGAGACTGCCTTTGTTATATCTAATATTCTATCAATCACCCCAGATCTATCTTCTCAAATCTCCACATTACTTAGCCTAACCCTATTTTTCTATTTTCTAGAGGAACCCACCACATTGATCAGGTTGATTTATTCACATTTTCCCAAAAATGCTAGGTAGATTCCTTCCTAAATCCATTAGTAAGTTATAGTCTGTATTCCCCATGGATGAACTGTGTTCACCAGTTATGACTCTTAGGAGGAACTTCATAGAAGATCTTCAGTGGCATCTATTGGTACATGTTGGACATTAACTAAAAATGTATAGTTTTAGCAACCAACAGATTCTATTCTTATACCTGTTGGTCATGTCCAGCCAGTTATGTGTAAAATAATTACACAATGTTTCAAAATTTCAAGATGTTTGCCCACCTATATAGTGTCCTTCACTCTCCTCTCCAGCTTTCCAAATAATATCCATAATTCAAAGACCAGTTAAATCCTACAGGCATATTCACAGAATAACTTCCCTGAAAACATTGCTTAAATTAATGAAGACCATCTATGGGCAATGCATCTTCAAGAACTCAAGATCTGGTGAAAAAATGGAAACAAAGAAGAAATTTCAATACAATGTGATGAAAATTTTAAATTATTTCTCTCTTGCAAATTTCCATTGCTTGTTTGAACATTCAGGAGAATAGTACTGCTTTCCCATTGAATGTATAAATAAATGTAAGAATGAAGGTTGGCCCTCCCTCCAAATTCATTAAACATTAAATTTTTTAAGTAAAAGATAAGAGAGCTGTATGAAAATTAAAATTCATAATTACTTCCAATATAGAAAATAATTGAAATAGATAAAAACACAACCAAATAGAAATGGATATTGCTAAAAATCACCTTCTTAATTAAATTAGCAACAAAAGTGAAATTATTGTTCTATCCATATTGGTGACATTGCTTCTTAAATTATTCAAATTAAAATATATTCTACTGGTGAGTTCAGGAAAAATTGACAATAAAGGAATAGTATCATACACAAAGAAATATAACTCACTGTTTTAGCCTAGCAACTAGTGTTTACAGAACAAGTTACAGATTATTCTGCAATACAAAACAATCCTAAAGTGTTTTTAACCTTAAATCAAAATTCAAATTAGAATTAGAAATGAAATGATGTTCTCATTTCAGCAATGAATACAGAAGTGAAATCACTTGATTTTTCTGAAGACTGTATTTTTCAGTGTTCATCTGGATTTAACACTTTAAAGAATACCTTTTATTCCTTAAATAACATTCAGTTTGTGAAAGTAAGCACACCTTTTTCAGCTCCGCTTATTCTGCAGAAGGATCCTTCCATATCAAGAATTAACACAATATGCATCGTGGGTTCACAAAGTTCAATTTGCAGCTATACTTAGCAAATCATGAGAACCATCTAGACTGATTGATGTGGAGATTGAAAGTAATTGATCCTGCCATTGAGAAGCTTTTTGAAACATGAAATTAAACAAGACGATATTAAGCATTCTGAAGTTCATCAGAGTGGCACATCAAATGTGTTACTAGCTGTTCATTTTCCTTTGTATTTTTATAAAGACCCTTGGCTGGCAGAATGGAACAGAAATAGAAACTAAACGATCTAGATATTGATGTAGTGATCAAAGGCATACAGCTGGTTTACTTTGTTATAATATTTTATGTGGTACATGAAGACTTTGATCCCTTGACAAATGTCATTTGTAGGTGAGCAATTATTAATAGGATTGTAAGTCTTAATATGCAAGGATCACCATTAATAAAAGTAGACTATTGTAAAGTGAATTAGCAATAATTTTACTTATGAATAAAAACTTATACTATTTCAGGTCATTTTCTTATTGTTTCTTGAAAAAATAAGTCCTTTATAAGTCCAGTTAAATATTACCTAATTTTTGCATCAAATTTCATGGTAAACAAGGCTTATTTTCTTACTTTACTGATGTCTAAAAGCTAAATTTCACTGGTGATATATCATTTGTTTAAGACTAGGTAACTGATAACCTAAGCTGAGACCCAAAATTTGTTATTTTCTTTATTTCCAGCACAATATTTTCCATCATGGTATATTACATCTTGCTAAAGAAGCTATGTTTCTTTAGCAAGACAATTGAAAAGCATAAACATTGGTTTACTGGAAAGATTTTTAATATTCCATATTATTTACAACTGTTTGCTTATTTCCATGTATAAAATGACATTGATTCAATAGACTTCTTCCACATTTGCATGATATTCAGCTATAACACTAACTCAGGCAATATTCATATGGCTCCAGAATTAAACCAGTATCTGACCTCCCAATTGAATTAGAAGATAGGCATTTTGTGATTTGAGGAAGACATCCTGTGAATTTACAAATGTCCAGAAAGTGATACAAAAGAAAAACAAAAGACTTTAGTCTAGTTAAAAGTAGTGCTACTATTTCTTGAAATTCTGAAAGCTGTAATAAGTATCATTCCCAAATCTGGGGATAAAGCACAGAAAATGGCATCTCTCAATATAATCTTGGACATATTTGTCATTAAGGAGCCCAATGAAATATGACAAATTGCACAGCAACTTTTAAAAATTGCTAATAACTCTTTGTTTATGTCAGTAGTAAAATTTAAATACTGATCCAACCTGACACATATGAACATAACATACCTATTCTGAAAGACAAAGACTATGTATCGATATTTATATTATATTTAATACAAATCATGGAATATAGTATTATAGAATTGTGCCTATTTACCTAGAAAATATTACCCCAATTTTGTTTTTCTAAGCTTCAAGAGAGATTTCTTGGAGAAAATGAGATTTTATAAGCAATGCTAGCAAAAAAAGACAACTTAAAAGATTATGGATAAAAAGGCGTATTTTAGATACAAAACACAGATTGAGAAACGCTTAGGGGCAAGAAGCAATGCATCACTGGCCAGTGTAAATGAACTGTTTAGGCAGTAAAATGTGTCCAAGCAAGTGGTGAGTATATTCTGTTCTCTTTTATATATCTAGACAAGTGATTTCAAACACCCACGTGGAGCCCTGAGACCCTGGGTGTTCACCTAATGTAAGCCTCAGTATGGGAGCTGAGGTCAAGTAATTGAGGGAATATGTCCAACAATCAATAAGCAAATCAGAATGAGCTAACTGTCACACATTCTTACCCTCATCCCTTTGCTGCATTAACTGAGCAAACAGCTCTCTCTAACTATGTAGGAAAAGTGTTAGTACTCAAATAAAAAGGTAAATTTAATAATCTGCTTAAGGCTGTATGAAAAAATGAAGCAATGTGTATCAGGTTTCTTCAAATATATGCATATTGCAATCCACCCTATAAGTAGATTTACCCTCGATTGTAAGAGCTGAAAGCAGGCCGGGCACGGTGGCTTATGCCTATAATCCCAGCACTTTGGGAGGCTGAGGTGGGCGGATCACGAGGTCAGGAGATCAAGACCATCCTGGCTAACACGGTGAACCCCGTCTCTACTAAAAATACAAAAAATTAGCTGGGTGTGTTGGCGGGGGCCTGTAGTCCCAGCTACTCAGGAGGCTGAGGCAGGAAAGTGGCATGAACCCGGGAGGCAGAGGTTGCAGTGAGCCGAGATCACACCACTGTACTCCGGCCTGGGCGACAGAACGAGACTCTTGTCTCAAGAAAAAAAAAAAAAAAAAAGGAAACATTCTGCAAATGTTGAATTTAAATGCATATTTCTGCTTTCATATAGCTTATATGATATTAAAGCTATATGCACCAGCAGATACATTAAGTTTTATATTATATAACATATTATATACATTTTATACTGGATAATGGAAAAATGGTACCTATCATGTTGGTGACTACAATTTTGGCAGCCTTAGAAAAACTTCAGGGCCGGGCGCGGTGGCTCACGCCTGTAATCCCAGTACTTTGGGAGGCCGAGGCGAGCGGGTCACGAGGTCAGGAGATCGAGACCATCCTGGCAAACACGGTGAAACCCCCTCTCTACTAAAAATACAGAAAATTAGCCAGGTGTAGTGGCGGGCGCCTGTAGTCCCAGCTACTCGGGAGGCCGAGGCAGGAGAATGGCGTGAACCGGGGAGGCAGAGCTTGCAGTGAGCCGAGATTGCGCCACTGCAATCCAGCCTGGGCGACAGAGCGAGACTCTGTCTCAAAAAAACAAAAAACAAAAAACAAACAAACAAAAAAACTTCAGAGCATAAGCCAAAACAATTAGAAATAGCATGGCTTTAAATTAATTTTTTTAAGAATCTTAAGGTGACAAATATTCTGTCATCTGTCATGCGAATCTAGTTCCACAGAAGGGCAAATTAGGAATCCATTACCTGGAGTAACCATTCCTCATGCCTAGAAGAAGAATCTCTACAAGTAGGATTCTTGCTGTTCAACATGCCCTTATAAATTGGAGTCAGACTGAATCATTTTTTCTTGGCAATGGACAAGAAAATCAGACTGTAACTATAGCTTTGTCACTGAGAATTGGTCAACCATTTCAAAATAGGTAAGTTTTCTCCCTCTGATGCTTCTACTGGGGCTTGAAGGATTGATAAATATGCTTCTATTCTCTGTCAGAATTTGGAACTAAGGGAGAGATACGCAAAGATTCAGGCAGATGGAGATCAAGATGGCAGGTTTATTTTTAAAGGAGCTATGGGGAATCTTTGGGGTAACAATAGATTTTTCTGTTACTGTAGACACACATACCTTCCCAGCCACAAGTGGTGCTAGACAACTGCACACCTCTCCATCCCACCTCCCATCCCAACAGATACATAGGCATTTTCTTCAGATGTTGATGAAAATAATTATTTTATCACTATATCCAGATAATTCCAAAAAGCAATATGCTTGTTGAGGTGAAATAATTTTTCTAAGATACAAACAGAAAATATATACGATTGAAATAGACACTAGGTGATATTTCACATATGCAATATGAGCTCTGTTTCTTTGACAAGACAGATGAATGAAGAATTCATGTTTGAATGATTGGCATTAGTCTAAAGTATTAAATAATGAAAGTGTCCATATTCTCTGCCCAGTATGATCTTTTAAAATATCATCCACACAAATACAAGTGAGGTCATATTTTTTACAATGAGGCATCAAATTTAAAGGCAGCAAAAAAATAATGAATATACCTCTTAGGCTAATTGTTTACCTTAGTGGTTTTAATGATATGGAAAGTTGAAGTTTAGAGTGAGAAAAGCACCAAAAAAGAAAATAATCAGTCTCCTGACTTTCATATCTGGTAGTCTTAGACTGAATGTCAGAACTGTCACAGGTCAAATAATGGCCCAGTATGTTTTCAAATAAGTGACACGGAACACCATGTTTTAGAAGTACATGATTGTCCTTCTTGATGTTAATCTCACAACTTAAGGACATGCTTGCCAAACATCATAATTTCTCTTAATAACTCATATCAGATAAATCTCCAGTGGAGACCTATGCTCTGGACTCCAGACTTACGCCAAGTAGCCTAATTACTATCTCCACTTGCAGGCAAAATAGGCATCTCAAAGCGAACCTACCTCAAAAAGAGCTCTTAATCTCCTACTATTCTCCCCACTTACCCAGCATCTTCCCCATTCTCACCTTCTCTCATCATGTTCCTCATATCAGGAGGTAATAGACTCCATCCTTATAGTTATACAGTTATTAAGCCACAAAACACCCTGTTTATACCCTTGGCAGCCCTATTTTTTTAAAAAATTATACTTTAAGTTCTGTGATACAGGTGCAGAACATGCAGGTTTGTTACATAGGTATACATGTGCCATGGTGGTTTGCTGCACCTATCAACCTGTCATCTACATTAGGTATTTCTGCTAATGCTATCCCTCCCTTACCCCCCACCCCCTGATAGGCCCTTGTGTGTAATATTCCCCTCCCTGTATCCATGTGTTCTTACTGTTCAACTCCCACTTATGAGTGAGAATATGCAGTGTTTGGTTTTCTGTTCCTGTGTTAGTTTGCTGAGAATGATGGTTTCCAGCTTCATCTATGTCCCTGCAAAGGACATGAACACATTCTTTTTTATGGCTGCATAATATTCCATGGTATATATGTGTCACATTTTCTTTATCCAGGTTATCATTGATGGGCATTTGGGTTGGTTCCAAGTCTTTGCTATTGTGAATAGTGCTGCAGTAAACATACATGTGCTTGTGCTAACCCCATCAAAAAGTGGGCAAAGGATGTGAACAGACACTTCTCAAAAGAAGAAATTTATGTGGCCAACAAACATGAAAAAAAGCTCATCATCACTGTGCCGGGTCCATCCCGCAGACCCTGGCTGAGCAACAGAAGAAAGGAGTACTCAGACACAAATATACAGGGTAAGAGCAGGCTAGGAGGCTGCGAGCCCTAGGGGCAGAGGAGAGTTAGCAGTCTCGATAAGCCAGAGCTGCTTGTATTTATTCAGTACTGGTATAACATCCAAGGCCTGGAGTCAACACAATTGCTGGGTAATTAACATTTTTGCTCCCTCTTACAGGGAGCAGTCTCATGCTCAGAAGTTCAAAAGTCAGTTTCCTGGCGACATAAGTAAACAAGCCTATTTAGATAAACTTCTTTACTTTTCCTTGCACCTACTTCTCACCCTTAGCCTCAGAGAAAGAGAATTTTCTTCCTTCACCTTTATTCTCTCATGAAGCTTTTGCAAGACCTTCCAACCTTTCAAGAAGGCTTGCGTCTTTCCTTATAGCTTCTCCCACCACCCTGACCGATCTCCCACATCACTGGTCATTAGAGAAATGCAAATCAAAACCACAGTGAGATACCATCCCATGCCAGTTAGAATGGCGACCACTAAAAAGTGAGGAAACAATAGATACTGGAGAGGATATGGAGAAATAGGAATGCTTTTACACTGTTGATGGGAGTGTAAGTTAGTTCAACTATTGTGGAAGGCAGTGTGGTGATTTCTCAAGGTTCTAGAACCAGAAATACCATTTGACCCAGCAATCCCATTACTAGGTTTCTACCCAAAGTATTATAAATTATTCTACTTTTTTTGACATGGAGTTTCACTCTCGTCATCCAGGTTGGAGTGCAATGGCATGATCTTGGCTCACTGCAACCACCACCTCCTGGGTTCAAGTGATTCCCTTGCCTCAGCTTCCTGAGGAGCTGGGATTACAGGCACCCGCCAACATGCCCGGCTAATGTTTGTATTTTTAGTAGAGACAGGGTTTCACCATGTTGGCCCGGCTGGTCTCAAACTCCTGACCTCAGGTAATCCACCCATCTCAGCCTCCCAAAGTGCCGTGATTACAGGAGTAAGCCACCATTCCCAGCCACCCTCATTTTTTTATAGCTCATACTATGTTAACAAATTTTATCAATAGTAATTCAAAACATCTTCAGATTCTGTTCCTGTCTCACCACCGTCACTACCACCCTGATTCAAACCACCATCTCTCCACTCTCCAGTTAGGTTTACTGCTATAGCCGCCTAACTGGTCTTCCTACTTCCCTGTAGCCCCTTGCCTTCAGTCTATTCTAGTTTCTGCAATTAGGGTGATTCTTTAAGAATATGTCAGACCGAGCCATTCTTCTCTTAAAACCCTCCAATGACTTCACTCTCCATCCCACTCAAGGTATTAGTTTCCTCAGGCTACTGTAACAAATTACCACCAACTGAGCAGGTTAAAAGTACAGAAATTTATTCTCTCACAGTTCTGGAGGCTAGGAGTTGAAAGTAAGGTGTCATCAGGGTCATGGTCTCTGAAGACTCCAGGGGAGGATCCTTCCTTGTCTTTTCCTAGCTTCTCACAGTTGCCATCAATCCTTGGCATTCTTTGGCTTGTAGTTACGTGACTCCAATCTCTTCCTTCTTCTTCACATACTTTATCCACCGTGTGTTTTTCTAAATATCCACGTTCTTACAAGCACACTAGTCATTTGATAAGGGCCCATCTGAATCCACTTAACTTGATTGACTAGGCAAGATTTTATTTCCAAGTAATGTCATATTTACAAGTACTGAGAGTTGGGATTTGAACATCTTTTTTGGGGAAGACACAATTCAACCCACAGTACTCAACCCAAAGCTCCTTACCATGCACGCATCTCCAGTCCTTTGGTATTCAAAGTGTGATACACAGACCAGTAGCACCAGCATCCCCTGAAACTTGTAAGAAATATAAACTCTTCAGACCACCTGAATCAGAATCTTTATTTTAATGTGAAACCTAGGTGATTTATATGCAAATTAGAATTTGAGAAGCATACCCTTCAAAACGACCTGCCTACTTTTCTTATTATTTCATCTGCTCCTCACTCCATGTCACTCTGTCATTACTCTGCTTGTGTCATATTGACCTTTTTGATATTCCTGCAGTGCCTGGACTGTTCCTCCCCCCAATATTTGCATGGGTTATTTACTCACCTGCACCAGATATAAAGATATATTTATCATATATAGTGATATATAATTACACATATATTATCACACATATATATATAACACAGTGCAGTTGTTCCTGGATAATCTATTTTAAATATACATCCTATCAACCCCATTCTTCTTCCTTGCTTTTTCTAATTCAAAAGTATTTATTTCCACAAATTTTTATCCACAGCTAAATATTACAGTGACTATTCCAAGCATTTTTCTATAAAGAAAGATGTAGTTTACAGATTTGTTCAAAGCGGAAAAATATTTTCATCAGTAGTCTTTCTTCCTTGGTGTTAGGTTCACCCCTGAATATGTTCTGAACTCTTCCGGAGAGGCAGTCCTTCATCTAAATGTCAGTGGGTGGCAAAATGTTATACTCAAATCTGGATTATTCTGATACAGTGTCACTTCAGAAAGTAGCTTAGTTTCATTTCTGGTTGATCCCCTTTGTTAGAATTAGGAATTAAAAAAAAATCTTTTGTATGTAATGACTCTTTATAATAATAATAAATCCTGCCCTGTGTTTGTCACTGGCATTAACCTCTGTCTACACCCTCTAATTCTTTAATTATGGCTCCAGTGGTTACAAAAGGTGAATTATGGTTATTTGGCTCATGCAGCAAATTAATTGGAGAAACTGATGACAAATGGTCTGTGAAGAACTGCAAGGTCTTGCCCCATGCTGTCCCATTTTAGTTACCATTTAGTTATGTAGGCATTATACAAATGCCTCAAATTAGGACACCTTTGCTGTCTCAGTAGGTCGAGTGTATGAAAATTTACTTTATGCAGAAGAAATAAATTCTAATTTATTGGTTACCTGCATCTTAATGTATGAAGGTTCTAAGTAAATATTTGATGAATTGATGGTAGCAGCGTTAATTTTTAAATGTTCCAAGCTCCTAGATTTTTTTTGTTTTGTTTTTACAAAAGCCTTAAAGTTTGGTACTAAGGAAATCAAAGAATCAACTCCCACCATCATGCTTCAGGGAAAGGGAAAAATGTCTACCTTTGGGTCTAATCTGCCTCCCAGGCGAGCTTACAGGTACTAGAACTCTAACTGCAACTATGATGGCACAGGGAAAATGCATGTATGTAATATGCTTGTCGGCTTCAGCAACAACTCATGTATACATACACATTTACTATATGTAAACAGGTCCTGTATCATACTTAAAACACAAGTGTTTGATCTATAAATATTTGATTCTTAGTATTTAAAATGCTTCTAATGTTTTAAAAGACAAAACTCCACCATGATATCACATTGAACATTAAAATTATTCCCACAGCAACACTTATTTCAGAGAAACAATTAAGTCAGTTATCTTAGTCACCACTAAAGGCACCTGGTGAGAAAAGCCTGAACTAAATTTTAAATATTAAAAAATTAAAGAGACATCTAGTGCAGAGTTCAAACCTTTATGTTGAATTGTTTAAGAGTCATTACTGATTTCATGACGCTGATAAGTGTTGGAGTTGAAATGATTTTTAAAAATGCAGAGAAAATGCTAAGAGAATATTATATAGTTCCCCTAAAGATGCTTCTTCTAACCTCCAAGTATTAAATAAGACTGATCTAAATGTTAAGTACATATAGAGTATATATTTGCTAGTCATCTATAAATTTTAAGTACAATTCCAGTGATATACCTGTATCTTTTGGAAGAGAAGAACTAAACCTGCCATTTCTTAGGCTAAATAGATGATTCATAAGGTCCTTCCCTCCCCATTTATTCTGACTGCCAAGCTTGTGTTCAGTAAGCTCTTGGCATCTAGTGATTAACCAGTGACAGCAGACAGTAGTGACCAAGAGAGATGGAGAGAACGATGGTGTAAGACAGTATATAAGGACAGTAAGCCACTGTATTTGTGGAACCACTGCATGTCAAAACTCCTTAACACTCTAACAAGGCATTTTTGGTCTTTTAAGATTAAGGACAGTCCTTACATAAGGGACTCAGTTTCAAACTAAAGTGCATCAAAAAGCAAATTATACTTCACAAACAACTTTAAAGAGGTAGCCACAAACCCAGTTGTTTTAGATTGGCCTTCTAAATGAAGTCAGCACATGGATCCATGTGTGAGTGTCATGGACGTCAGTGATTATGTAACTGTAACTGAAAGAAAAAGGCACAGCTCTGCAGACACCCAAGAGAAGCTGGCATGTTTAATGTGGATGTAGAAGGGATAATGTCCATGGCAACTGATTGGAACACAACTGTCAGCAGCCTCAACGCAGGCTAAGACTGGGTTAAGCCCCAGGAGATGCAGAGAACGATTGAGGAAGCTGTGCTCTAAGGGCACAGTACAGAAGGTAGCTTGGAGTGTGCTATGTTTCCGAGAGCCTTTTAAGTTGGGTGGCTGAGTAAAGGAGGGTGGAGGCAGGCTGTTCTACTTCCAATCCATGGATAAATCTCATTTTCTCAATGTAATGCAGAGGCTGTTCTTCTATGATTGGCAAACACTATTTGTTCTTATCATGGAAACAGCATACTGCTATCAAGAAATAGGGAAAAGACAGTAAAAAAAAAATACGTGGAAAGAATATGGAATACCATGCAGCCATAAAAAATGATGAGTTCAATGTCCTTTGTAGGGACATGGATGAAGCTGGAAACCATCATTCTCAGCAAACTATCGCAAGGACAAAAAACCAAACGCCACATGTTCTCACTCATAGGTGGGAATTGAACAATGAGAACACTTGGACACAGGAAGGGGAACATCACACACCAGGGCCTGCTGTATGGTGGGGGGAGGGGGGAGGGATAGCATTAGGAGATATACCTAATGGAAAAGACGAGTTAGTGGGTGCAGCAAACCAACATGGCACATGTATACATATGCAACAAACCTGCACATTGTGCACATGTACCCTAGAAATTTAAGTATAATAAAAAAAGTGTGGAAAGAATAATATGGGTTTCTAACTGAATGCTTGCTTTTGAAGAGCCCAAAAACAAACAAACAAAAAATTCTAAGAGCAGCAAACATCTACGTCTGTTATATTACTGAATTACTCTTTTTTAAAATCCTTATTTCATAGGAGAGATATTTACAATTTTGAATTACAACGTTTGAAAAACGTTGAAAATAACCTGAAAGGGGAAAGTTGACCTAAGCCATTTTATTCTCTTAAAAAACCCCAAACTTTTGTATAATAGTAATCCCTGAACTGAGTATTTTTGAAGGTTTTTCAGATAATCTGATGTGTGAGGTTAGTTTGTTTTACTATTCAGTTGTTTGGAATAGTAGAGCATTATATGAGGCTCTTACTGGAGGCTTAATGGTATTAAGAGATTAAAAGCTTTCACATTGTTTGGTTTTTACATCTATAAATAAAACAAGTTGTTATCATTTTGTAATATTTAGCTTATATACATTTTTGTGAGAGCTTTGTGGGACTTGGAAAGTGTATGGACTAGCATCAGACACAAATTATTTTTCATCTTTCTCACTTGGAGTTTCAGATAGCAGCATTTTAATCATCTCTTCCATTAAACCAAGATTACACAAAAGCGTTTGAGGACACTGAGGACTGGCACTTCTAATTTTTCTTCAGAAACCAGTACTCAAAATGTCTGGTTTGGAGGTCAGTTACACTGCTGTCTTTGTATAATCAGCCATTAAAAAATATTTTGGGGACATTTCTCAGAAGTCTCATCCCCATATTTTTGTTCTTAACACATCTCACCACAAACTCTACCACACCTATGGTTTGCAAACTTTGGGAAATGTCAGTATATGCCATTATCATGGTTATTAGTACTATTATTTGTTAAAAGCACTTTGAAGGCAATTTATGTGACTTATATATAGTTAGTATTTTAATCTGGACATTCTCCAGTTATATGCAAAGATTAAAACTCGGCAGCTTCATTTTATAGAATTGGCATCTTTTATATGGCTATGGGGACTGCTTGGTGTCTATAAATTATTATAAATTATTATGTATATTTGTTGGACTGAAATCAAACTTAAAATCTTCCACATTTCAAGTGCTTTTATTCTGAGCAGTACGTACAAAAAATAATGCCATAGTTGTGTCTAATTCTGTATAGTTCAGCACTCTCCACAGGCTGTCGATCTCTGATTTGATCTACTTTTACCAGATTTAACAGATCCTTGAATTTACTTTACTGTCTATGCTTCCTTTTTGCTCACATTGGGAATCAGACTAAACATGCATCTACTTCATTGAGGAACTCCAGATTGAGACATGCTGGGATTCACTCCATGGTTAGGGAAGATGGATAAAATGGAAACAAAACAGGAAACATGTGCTTGGCATCTAATAGCAGTTGCTGAGGGTCATTCTGCTCTTGTAGTTGTGCCTGGATCGTTTGTATAAAGGCCACTGTTACCTGTTCTTCAAATTCATTCAGGGGAGGCTAAAGGTTTAAAAGTTGGACAATCTGCTGGGTGCTGAGAGAGGCACACAGGGAGCAGATGGCCTCTGCATCCTCCTGGGTTTTCTTCTTTAATTGCAGGAGCTGGGCCGCTTGGACCAGAGGTACCATGGTCTGAACTACTCCACTCTGGTGAAGATTTCTTCCCCAAAGCCACTCCTCAAGCTAACTTATATTGTACCTGAGTTGCATGCCTGTGCTCCAAGAGCAGACGTCCTTCCGCAGGAGCAGGTCATTAAGAGTCACTGCGTTGATCATGTAGAAGAGCCGTTTGAATACCTGCAGGATGATCTCAGGGTCCAAGCCCTGGTCACACATGACTGTATGAAAGGCATTCATCTGGCAGATGATAGCTTACAGGTGGTATGAGTTATCCCCATCTGCCATGCTGGAGGAGTGCTTCTGGGAGCCAGTGGGCTTCACACCAGATAGACCCTGAATGCTCTCATTTTCCAACATGGCAGAAACTATCATCGGCTGTAACACACCCTTGGCAATTTTAAAGAGCTGCTGGTAGATCTGAATGGAAAGGTCGCTCAGTACCTGACGGTATTCAGTGAGGTCAAAGTTCTTAAGGCAGTGTTCGTTGTGCTTTGCAGTATTCTGAGTCATGAAGCCCTCATCCCCGCTGTACCGCTTCAGATAGTGAAGAAGGTGGCAGGTGTTGGATAACAAGAATGACGTCATCTCAAAGTCATCACTGTGCTTCTTCAGGACTTTCTTAATGCCGTTGGTGGTGGAGGTCATCAGGGAGTGCACCTTGAGATCATCGTTGGTTTGGTCCGCGAGCCGGATGCACATGTAGGGGATGTAGGCGGGGAGACAAGGCACTGTGTCCAACAGCATCTGGGGCTTCAAGTCTGTCACCAGGTTGAGGATGAGGAGGGCCTCGCCCTCTTTGTGGCACTCCAACATGCCCTGGAAATCCTTTTCTTTCCACTGAACTGGGACCTGCCTGTTGAACTCATGGCGCTTCCTCCCACTCTGGGCCAATGCCTGGGCAGCTTCTTCATGTAAATCTTCAGTTGCTTTTAGAGCTTCCTCTCATTCTTTTCCTCTTACTTTATTTTTCACCACAGAACTTCCTATCAACTAGTATGTTGAATATTTTGCTTATTAACTTTGTTTATTGTCTTCTCCCTCGATTAGAATATTAGCTACTTGAGTACAAGGATTTGAGCCTGTTACGTTCACTGCTGAATTTTAGGCTCCTGGAAGATACCCAGCATTCAATAGAGACCACACAATAAATATATGTCAAATAAATGAGTCTGTAAGTTCATCAATTTATTTGCCCATATGCATTAACTTTTGCCCATATACATCCAGTAAGTCTTGTTATATGAAATCAACTGTACTATTTGCTTCATGTAATAGTTTAAAAATACATATGTGTGTATATAAATTTATACAGAGATCATAGACCTAACTCCGTCTATATATGTGGGTATGTGATATGTATAAATATATACACACATATATGACTGACATATATATATAAATATATACACACACATATATATGACTGACATATATATAAATATATACACACACATAGATATGACTGATATATATATCTATCTTGTGTAAGTGGAATCAGGCAGTATTCAAACATACTTTCAATTAGTAATGACTATAGTTTAAATAAGAGAAAGTTTAAAGATTCTGATAGTTTAAATAAGAGAAAGCAAACATCACTACTACTAGTATTTGGGGAAAAAGATTACAAATAGAGATATGATAAAAGTGTACAATATTTTTTATGTTTGTGCACTTAGATCCATGTTCAAACTTTGGCTCACCTATACATGTATAGCACATTGGAATATGTGCTACAGTATGCCATTTATAAAGACTGAAAATAATAGTTTATAAACATTATTATTTATTTAGCAACCTCATAAGCTTGGTTTCAAAAATACCTGAATTACATAGCATAATCCCAGAGCTGGAGAACAGAACAGTAGCTGCCAAGGGTTAGGGTTGGTTGGAAGATGTGATCAGTGAGGGATAACGTGAAAACATGTACTTTGTTTGTGGTGATAGAGCAGTTCTGCATCCAGATAATGGTAATGGTTACATAAATCCACACTTCATAGATCTATACACACACATCACACATACATTCAAACACATCTGTACATGTAAAATCCTTAGAAATATGAATAGGGTCTGAACCTGAGTTAATGGTATGGAAACAATGTCAATTTCCTGATTTTGGCAACGTACTAGGTTAAGTTAGATAAAATCATTGGGGAAAGTTGCCTGAAAATAGCATGGTCATTCATTTTACTTCTTTTTTTAACTTCTTATGAGTCAAATTGTTTTAAAACAAAAGGTATTAAGCAAAGACAAAAATTTGAAAGTTCAAAAATCAAAGCCCATATGAATTTGGACATATGATTTGATTTCTTTTATAGACCTTGATTTCTTCACCTGTAAAAATGGAATAATAGTATGATTCCTATCTCATTATTGTCATGCTTAAATCATACCACTTATGTAGGTGCCTGTATATATATATATATATACACACACACACACACACACATATCTATATATATGACTGACTTTGACTGACTTAGGTCTATGATTTAAGATGCGGAAATTGGAATTTACCAGAACATTTGTGAATTGATTTGTTCTTATGCTTCACCAACTGTCATGGTAAAGGACACCTTAGCCCCAGCTCATAGTATGAAAACACGTAAATGCTTCTATGTGCCCTAAATTTCTCTTGGTTAAGCTTTATACTTTTTTTTTGTTTATGACACAGAAATATGATCACAAAGCACATGTGTACCACAATAAAAATTTCATGTATTTTGTCTCTATGTTATGTTTTCTTTCCATTTATGTCTTTTCAAGCTAACAATTCCTAATCTCCTAATACAGTGGGCCTTTCAAGCACTTACTTCTTTAGATAGTCATGTTCTTTTAACTAGGATCTCACAGATAAAGTTATCAAAGCATGGAAAAGGATGAAGAAACTTGACTCCTTCCCCTCTCCATCCCCCACTAAATTCACTTCATCCCAACCTTGTATTTGTTTTGTTCTCCTGGAAAAGAAAATATAGTCATCACCCTCAATAAATATACAATCTAGTTAGAGAGATATGACTTCAGAGTAGGATTTCTTAGTTTTGATTTTGATTATCTTCCTTTAGATATTTGGAAAGACCAAAATGCTGTATGCTTATGGACTGCAAGCAGTATGAGTGGAAAACAAAAGTAATAAATGTTACTTCTGACTTTATTATAATGTTAGGATTGTTAATAGTTAACAATTACTTACTGAAGGAAGATTTAAATTGAATATTTCTAAATGGGAAAAATTTAAAAAGCAGGTGAGTCCATAAATTTTAGGACCCAGAATCTACTGAGCTAAAAACTCAATGAGAGTTAATTCTCTGTTGATGTTGTAGCAATTCTTGAGGTTATTTCTGAAGACTCACATGAGAGCTAAACAATAAAAGAGGACTGAGACCACTTCAAGGGATGGAGAACACCTTCCTTTCTTGTTCAGATGATGCTCTGAGACATCGCTGTTTATTTTGACTGCCTCTTTTTAAACAAACTTCCACTTAGGAACTTAAAAACCACCTGAAAACCAACAGCCACAAAAAAGTGGGGAACTCAGTGTTTAAGCATTATTGTTCACCAGACACAGTACTGGGCACTTACATAAATGTTATGGTTTAAGCATGACAATAATGAGATAGAAATTCTACTATCATTCCATTTTTACAGGTGAAGAAATCAAGGTCTACAAAAGAAATCAAATAATATGTTCAAATTCATAAGGGCTTTGATTTTAGAAATTTTAGATTTTTTGTCTTTGTTTAATACCAATTATTTTTAAATAATTTGACTCACAAGAAGTTAAAAAATAGTAAAAAGAATGACCGTGTTATTTTCAGCCAACTTTCCCCAATAATTATATATAACTTAACCTAGCACATTGCCAAAATCAGGAAATTGACATTGTTTACATACCATTAACTCAGGTTCAGACCCTATTCATATTTCTAAGGATTTTACATGTACTCTTGTGTAGGTGTGTGTGAGTGTATGTGTGATGTGTGTGTATAGATCTATGAAGTGCGGATTTATGTAACCATCACCATAATCTGGATGCAGAACTGCTCTATCACCACAAAGAAAGTACATGTTTTCATGTTATCCCTCACTAATCACATCTTCCAACCAACCCTAACCTTTGGCAGCCACTGATCTGTTCTCCAGCACTAGGATTATGCTTTGTAAATCAGGTATTTTTGAAGCCAAAGCTCATGAGGTTGCCAAATAAATAATAATATTTTATAAAATGTTATTTTCAGTCTTTATAAATGGCATACTGTAGCACATATTCAAATGTGCTATACATGTATAGGTGGCAAAGTTTGAACACGGATCTAAGTGCACAAATATAAAAAATATTGTACACTTTTATCACAATATCCCTATTTGTAATATTTTCCCCCAAAAGCTAGTAGTAGTGATGTTTGCTTTCTCTTATTTAAATTATCCGAATTATAGTCATTACTAATTGAAAGTATGTTTTAATACTGCCTGATTCCACTTACGTAAGGTATCTAAAATAGTTAAACTCCTAGAAACAGAGTAGAATACTGGTTGCCAGGGTCTTGAAGGAGGGGAAATGGGGGTTGCTGTTTGATGGGTATAAAATTCAGTTATAACAGATGAATAAGTTCTAGAGATCTGCTGTCAACAGAGCACCTATAGTTAACAAGATTCTATTGAGCAGTTAAAAATTTATTAAGAGGATATATCTCATGTTAAACATACTTACTTCATTAACAGAAAAAAAGGGAATATTTTACACATAAAATTACATATATGCCTGAATTTCACATTTCGTTTCACAAATTGTACTGGTGCTTAAAAGGTATTTTTGCATTAAAAAACATCTAACTGAAGGAAAAGTTACAAATGAGTGATCATTCATAAATACAATATAATCCTAGGGACCGCTGTTTTTCCATTTTGAACACCCTCCACAATTAGTCTTAATAATCATGTTGACTGAATGCAAAATAATGATTTCTCAAGAGGCAATAGAAAATAGAGAATAAGTCCATTCTTGAGAAAATTTATAATTAGTGAAAGTAATTTTTTCATCCTCTTTTCTTATTTAAATCTCAAGTACTCTCTGCCACTCTGTGCTCTTCTTTCTGGGGTAAAATATGCCAGCTATCCACCGTCAGGGCATTCTCTAACCACTCCTCCTTAGAGATGTCTACAGACTTTTACTCAGCTAGACTGTCTTGTTGCCTGTCTTCATATCAACTTCGCAAGACGTGTGGACCATTCTCTTAGGCCCCTGCATGGCAGTGCATAATATATTCCATGCTAATTATCTAATGAGGTTCACTAAATTAATCTTTTATTATACCACATAAAATACTCTTAGATCTAACAGTACAAACATTTCCAATTATGGGCCGGGCGCGGTGGTTCACGCCTGTAATCCCAGCACTTTGGGAGGCCGAGCTGGGCGGATCATGAGGTCAGGAGATCGAGGCCATCCTGGGTAACATGGTGAAACCCCGTCTCAACCAAACATACAAAAAATTAGCCAGGTGCGGTGGCGGGCGCCTGTAGTCTCAGCTACTCACAAGGCTGAGGCAGGAGAATGGCGTGAACCCAGGAGGCGGAGCTTGCGGTGCGCCCAGATTGCGCCACTGCACTCCAACCTGGGCGACAGAGGGAAACTCTGTCTCAAAAAAAAAAAAAAAAAAAAAGAAGAAAATTCCAATTACATCACTCCTTTGAATTACATCCTAAGACTAATTTAAAGAGGGTATCACAAAAATAGAAATGATAGCGACAGAAAATGGTCCCAATTTTCACCACACTGTTGCTAAGACCACCTTGCCACTCATCATTATAGAATGCCTTTCAGGTAACATAATAAGAGCTATTTTTAAAATGGAACCTTACTATACCCATGTGTGACAGGCAGAGGGACTCTATTATCATTCATAGTTTACAGATGAAGCAGTTAGATTTGCCCCAGATCACTGGCTTATTCAATGACAGGCTAAGACAGAACCAAGTTTTATTCTCAAATAAGACCATAAAGAAGAGGATTGATCCAAATGACTTATAAAATTTTCTTACAGCCCCAGTAACAATAATAGATAAGCTAATGATTTCTTTAATAAAAATCTGATATGACAAGTAGAATGTGACAGAATCAACATGATCAATTAATCAGATTTGGGTAGTAGTTTGGTAGCTAAATGTTGGATACTCTTGGACATAAAGATGACAGTATTTATGACGATAAAGATGACCATTCCACAGTTTGAGAATTTCTACAGAGAGAGAGATGAAGAAAATTTCTGAAGTAATTGAAACTGTGTGAAGATGAATTATTTGGTTGATGAACTGCTATCATTCTAAATGGACTTCACTTTCTCAAAAAATAACGCATAAAGATGAAATATGTATTGAATGAAAATTATATTTTGTTTTTCCATTTTTTACCTAATAAAAAAATCAGAAAAACAGATTTTTTTTAAAAAAAGAAAAGATGACTATAATAGACAATGGAGACTAGTAGAGGCAGTAGGGAGGGCAGCCAGGGTTGAAAAACTACAGGGTACTAAGCTTCGTATCTGCATGATGAGATCAGTCATACCCCAAACCTCAGCATGGCACAATATACCTGGGTAACAAACCTGCCTAGACATTTGTGTAAAATGAGATGATTGCAGGGTAGTTTTAAAAGTCATTCCCCTTATGAAAATATGGAATGTTGTGCACATTATTTCATAGACTTTGTGCTTAGTTAAAGGTCTTAACCAAAAATTCTAAATGATTTCTCCTATTAATAAATAAATATCAATAACATCATTTTAATGGGCTCTATGAAGACCTTATTGTGTGATTGTATCATAATTCAACAAGTGCCCTATTGTTGAACACTTAGGCTCTTTCTGATTATTTCCCTTTACAAAAAATGCTATATTATAAATTGTTGTATGTATTTTTAAGTTATGAAATTTTTAGGGCAAAAGGTGAATAAATGTAAGGTCTTTGATAAATACTGTCAGAATTCTCTCCATAGAGGATACGATAAAGCATCTTTTCATTTGAAGGAGCAAGAATAACTGCTAAATACTTCTGAGACTTCCAGTACTTTTTTGGTTTTAAGTTTTTTTTGTTGTTTATTTGGTTTTTTGGAGGTTTTCTGTTTTGTTTTATAAGTAGGTTTCAGTATTACTAAGTATTCAGTCATGGTGGATATTCGAAGAATAATTTCTCTCTTTGGGATTATTCCTCTAACACTATGAGCAAGTATCACTGTGTTCTTTCTCTAAAGGAAAATATAAAGCATAGACAAATTAAATGCTGCTCAGATTCTAAAACTATGAAAATATAACAATGGAGAAACAAATAGCAAGTCTGTAGCTACTCAGTGACTTTAGCATTGAGTGGATCCTAAAATGCCTATTTTGCACAGAATGAAAAAGATACGGCAGGTTCCTTTGGAAGATCAAAGTGAGAAAATTGACTACAGCTTTAACAGCCTTAAAATAAATTTTTGGCAGAATGGAAAAGTATGCATAATTGAGAAAAGTACACTAATCTGTAGAATAAAATAGATATAAAAACAGGCTAAACCGTAATGCTGCTGCCTGTTCTTTTCACAACAATCTTCCACCTGTCCCTGACTGCTGTGTTTAGGGAATCAAAGTTTAGAGCTGAAAAAAATAGGAGGTTGGAGAGTTTAGGAGGAAGGCAGTGTAGGGCTGTGTAAATTGCAGAGAAGTCGGAGCCAGAAGACTTGAGTGGCATGCGATTGTGGATGGGCTATGAAATCTGGAAGCCTGCCTTTAAATACCAACTCAGACATTTACTAATCCTATGATCCCAGGCAAATACCATATCCTCTCTTTGGCTCAGTTTCTACATTTTTAAATAGAGATAAAAATAGTGCCTTACTGCCGGGCGCGGTGGCTTAAGCCTATAATCCCAGTAGTTTGGGAGGCCGAGGCAGGCGGATCATGAGTTCAGGGGATCGAGACCATCCTGCCTAACACGGCGAAACCCCATCTCTATTAAAAATGCAAAAAATTAGCTGGGCGCGATGGCTCACGCCTATAATCCCAGCACTTTGGGAGGCCGAGGCGGAAGGATCACGAAGTCAGGTGATCGAGACCATCCTGGCTAACAAGGTGAAAACCCATCTCTACTAAAAATGCAAAAAATTAGCCGGGCGTGGTGGTGGGCGCCTGTAGTCCCAGCTACTGGGGAGGCTGAGGCAGGAGAATGGCATGAACACGGGAGGCGGAGCTTGCAGTGAGTCGAGATCGCGCCACTGTACTCCAGCCTGTGCGACAGAAGGAGACTCTGTCTCAAAAAAAAAAAAAAAGTGCCTTATTTTCCCAGTGCCTGACTCATATTATTTATTAAATATTAGCCATTCTTTTATTATATAACTAGATTGGAACTGGGCAGGTCACCTTACCTTGTGTCTCAATTTCTTCAACTGTAAAATGAAGTAGTTAGACAATGTGAGCATGTGATATCACAACTAGATGTGAAAGTCTATGGTCCTATCACAACAGCAACAACAACAAACTCACTGGATGCTATCATGCTACCATTAGAGTAGGTTTGGAAATGATCCGAAGCCAGCAAAGTGAATATGAAAATAAAGAATTCAAAGCACAGTAGGGGAGAAAAGGAGAGAGGGGAAATAAGAAAAGTCACTTTTACAGATAGATTTTTTACATCTACATTTATCATCTGATACTATAATTATATCAAATATGTGATTGATTGCATAGGCAATAAAGTTACTATAAAACAGTCATTTGTGCATTGCAAGAAGAGTGGTTTTTTCCAACTTCCTTTTGTAAACCAATAAGTGAATGAGGCAGATCTCAAGTGATTTAGAGATTTTGCTTTGCAAGGTGGAGGATACACCTGGGAAAAGGGTCACAAGTCACAAGTAGGTGATGTCCTGTGCTTTTTCTAAAGAGGGTTTTGGGAACTTCAATATTTAAAGGAGAAAGAGGAAGCAGGCAGGAAACTAAAACAGGGGAGGAAAAGAAGGAGAGAGGGAAGGCAAGAAAGCTAATGGCTACATTCTTGTGAGGCTCTGATTAGTGCTCAGTGAATCTATATGTTACATGTGGCAAAAACAGGAGGAAGGAGTCAGTTGTGCATTCATCTTCTCTCTCAGGAAATCTACATTTTACATAAGTTAAAGTAAGCATATGAAATTACAGCTGTTTGGGAACAAAAGGATGGCAGTTTTTGCATGACTCAGGTTCCAAGCTTAATTTTCCTTTGTCATAGTGAGTTTGGGGTCCTGAGATTTTATTTTCCTTTCACACTTTCTACCAATATAAAGCTTCCTCATAGATGCCTTCTTTTTTCAAACATTAACAACCCTCGTGGTTTTCTCTCATTTTAAGTACAGAAAACATAATACTGTACAATAATTTTATCTGTCTTAAATACAAGACTGCTTATGATTCACTTAAAATAAAAAAAATGGCTCCACATTTCTGGCTTTTAGTTGGATTATGATTTCAACCAAAAATCAGAGCTTTTTAACCTTGAGTTTGAGTTTCACACACCCAGTAAAGTGGAAATATAGACTTTTTCTTAGGACAGTGTTATGACACTCAAAAGAATCGTGGCCAAACTTAATTACCTGTTGCAAACATCATTGCAGTTTTTTACTGAACTATCAGAGACTTTCTTGTGCCTATCACAGTGTATATGCTAAATACATATTACAGGGCCAGGCACGGTGGCCCATGCCTATAATCCCAATGCTTAGACAGGCCAAAGCAGGAGCATTGCTTGAGGCCAAGATTTTGACACCTGCCTGGGCAACGTAGCACAACCCCATCTCTAATTTTTTTTTTTTTAATTAGCCAAGCATGGTGGTAGGTGCCTGTAGACCAAGATACTTGGGAGGCTGAGATGGGAGGATCAATTGAGCCCAGGAGTAAGGTTACAGTGAACTATGATCACGCCCCTGCACTTCAGCCTGGGTGACAGAGTGAGACCCTGATTCTAAAAATAAAAAATAAATCAAAAATACATAAATACATAAATAAGTATTATGGAATCAACAAATAAATAAATTGAAAAAAGGATTGCATAAAATTACTTAGTAATGAGGCCTTTGTTGTCTAACCTTATATAAAATAAATCCCCAGGCCCCCGCATCCCCCTTACTGTTCTTATTTTTCTCCATACCATTCATAGTCATGTTATACTACATATGTATTTGTTGATGGTCTTTCTCTTACTGGTAGAATGTAAGCTCCATGATAGAAGAGATGTTGTTGATGTTTTCCTTTGTATTTTTTTCACTGCTTAATTCCCAGTGCACACAGTAAGCATACAATAAATATTTACTGTATGGATATTTAAGCAAGTCACTTCCCTCAATTCCTTCAAATTATTTATGTCACTTTGAAGGTAAAATCTCTCTTCTATACATCATTTTTCCTTCAATCTCCACTTTTAATATCTGTCACTGGCAAACATAATAAGTATACTCATTGTTCAGGTCAATAATGAGAAATTTTAAGCACTTTATTAAATATTTATTGAGTGTTCCTCTATAATGGACACTCTACTATACATTTCTGCCTTATTTGTGGAATGTATTCAACGTAATTATGCCACACAGGTAGACTTCCAGATCCTTGTGTCAAACTCACTTTCCTTGGCTTTGTTGGAGAACACATACTGTTATGAAGCTCACTTTAAAGCAAATATTTCCTGAAAATACAAAACT
Organism: Homo sapiens; assembly: GCF_000001405.40. Lineage (NCBI taxonomy): Eukaryota > Metazoa > Chordata > Mammalia > Primates > Hominidae > Homo > Homo sapiens. Next base: position 63,772,561 of record NC_000009.12, read on the forward strand.
GATAGATATATGTATGTAGGTTTCCTTCTTATATGTCTTTTACAAGCAATGAAGTTGTATATCTCCTTTAGTGTTTAATGTGTTTCATCAGATAATGCCCTAGAAGTTTTATCAAATTTTTCTGTCCATCTTTTGAAGGTGTATGAGAGTGAAAAAATGCAGTCTGCTGCTTCACTAATAAAACTAGGACAAATGCCATTCCAACTGAAATATGTGAAACACTTGGTTTTATTAATTTGAAGCATTTTAAACCTCTAAATTTGGACTCGAGTAAAGACATTTCATAGAAAAACTGAAATATTTTTTGTTTATTTTTTAATCTTGATAACTTGTAATAGTTTACAGCCACAGTGGCAGCTTTTATATGTGTACATGCATTTAAATACAGTTTCATAAATAGCCATGTGGCAAAATATCTGCCTCTAGGCAAAAAAAAAAATATTTGCCACTAAATGAACATCTTTAAGTAATATTGAAAATAGATGTGAGGTAATTTTTTATCTAAAGTGACTGTAGCCTATATTAAGACATACTCACTGTAACAATTCAAGTTTTAAAATCCTTGTTTTATAACTCAAAAATGTGTCTTTTCCAAAAAACACATCTTTACATTTATTGCTATTGTACATTCATTTGGCAGGAAACAGGGATGTTTGATGTCTTGCAATGATAAAACAATCATATTCAATAGAAAATTATCTCACATTCTGCATGACTTTTGAACATTCTATAAGATAATTACATAAGTGAAAAACCAATTTGTAGATATCTGAGTGAGTACAACCATTTAATAAATGTGAATAAAGCATTTCAGAACATTTTAATGTACACTGCATTTTCTGATAGTAAGATTTTAGGTTAAAATAAGATTATACTTTAAAAAGCTTACCATTATAAAAAAAATTATATCACTGTTGGCAATGCCTTTTTCATATTTGAGATGCTAGTCCAACATATTGCATATCCATTTGTTTTTGTTTTATTTTATTGTTATTACATTCATGGTCATACTAAAATACACACACACACAATTAGGATTTTTTTTCAATAAAAAGCCCAAAGAAAAATGCTGACAACGTTCAGTTGAAATTTTGAAATTGGGTTTTATAATTCTGCCCACATAGCAAAAGCTGAAATGGTCTATGAAGATGTAGTTTTTGAAAGAATGAAGCAAGTAGTAAAACCAACAAAACCAAGTGAAAATTATACAAGGAAACACAATAATAAGTTAACAAAAAAAATACACTTTTTCTTCATGTTGACAAGACATGATTTATTCCTTTCTAATATTTTCCCATCTCTTATAAATATATAAGCTTGCTTGTTAATACTTTGTCTAACTCTAATTTTTATTCTGTTACCAATGTCATTAATACTTTATTTTTCTTTATTTCTCTTGTAAAGTGACTTCTGAACTTCCTAGTTTGTTTAAACTATCGCAAGGTCAGAAAACCAAACACTGCATATTCTCACTCATAGGTGGAAATTAAACAATGAGAATACTTGGACACAGGCAGGGGAACATCACACACTGGGGCCTGTCATGGGGTGGGGGGCTGGGGGAGGGAGAGCATTAGGAGAAATACCTAATGTAAATGACAAGTTAATGGGTGCAGCAAACCAACACAGCACATGTATACAGATGTAACAAACCTGCACGTTGTGCACATGTACCCTAGAACTTAAAGTATAATAAAAATAAATAAATACATAAATAAAATAAAATGAATAAAAAATAAATACAAACATATTAATCATAAGTAAATGAAACATCTGATAATCTCATTATGTCTGGTAGTAATGTCACCTCTGAGTATTTAAATATTCATCTACATATTTCTTTGCTAAATTTCCTTTTATTTCTCCTTTATATTAAACTTTTTTTTAGAGAGCACAACTCCAAAGCATCTTTTATTAATATAGAAAGGTCATATTTAGCAAAAGACACAAGGCAGGGAAGTGTCAGGCCTGAGGCCTGAGCTGTGCTGAGGGAGAAAGAGGCTCTGGACAAGTGCTGGGAAGGGCTGAGTGGTGGGGGCCACAGAAAGTTCCAGTGGGCAACACTGTCTGTAGGTCATGGGTGGGACTCACGGGGACCTCGCTGCTAACTCTTGTTGCGTTGGCGGGGTGGGGTGGGGAGGGGGGTCCTTAGTGCTGCCACCTGCAGTGAGAACCGCCCCTTGGTTCCTGGAGGGCACCCATCAAGGGACACAGGACAGGAAGCCCAGGATGGTTAGTGCAACTAGGGATGAAGGCCAGGGAGAAGCAGGTGCTCTGAAGTCCAGACACAGAGGCCTAGGAGCTTCCTGTTAAGTGTGGGCGTTCCGCTCTGTCTCCACCAGGCACTCTGACTAGGGATGGATGATACCTGTCTTCAGGCGCTCCGCGGCGCTCTTGCTGCCAGCATAGGTGGGCCGGATCCCTTTGCCCATCTCCCCTGTGACCAACAGCAGTTCTGTGTAGGTGCTCTGGGAGCCCTGGGCACCAGGTGGTTTCATGGCCTGCACACAACCGACGGTAGGCGGTCCAAAGTCTTTAAACAGCGGTCTGCAAGGGGCAGTGGCTCCCGGCCCTGAGCCCGACGGCGACGGGACGCTTCCTGTAGGGACCCGAGTGCCTGGCCCAGGGGTGCTGAAGCCGGGGGTGCTGCTGGGGGCAGGGGTGGTAGGTTTGTAGGACATCCCCAACTCCTGGGCACTGGGGAAGCCAGCAGGCTGCTCTTCGGGGGTTGGCTGTGGGACCGCTCAGCAGCGATCTGATTGGCAAGCGGGCTGCACGCCCCCTGGTAAATCTATATTAAACTTTTTAACTGCAATTTGTATTAATCTAAATACAGTTCAAATATTCTCCATGAAAATTTCACATTTGAGTTGAGACATCCTAAAATGTAAAATACACAATGGATTTCAAAGATTTCATATGAAAAAAGAATGCAAACTATCTCTAATAATTTTTATATTGATTACATATTGACCCAATATTTTGGATATATATTGGGTTAAATAAAATATATAATTTAAAAAAATTATGCTACATTTTTGTTAAAAAATTTAAATAAACTATATATGAAATTATTTCTTGGGATAGAAAAGGGGACATGATTAAATATTTACTTAAACTTTTTTCAAAAACATATCTTTAAAACACATTTTCAAACACAACAAAAGTATTTTAATTTTGAATAGGTAAAATAAACTTATTCCTGCTGAAATTCAATCATGGCATGATTTCCTTTGTATGCATTTGAGGACTCTGTTTATAACCCAGATAAAAACATAAAACTTTTGAAACTCTTCTAAGAATGTCTAACACAAATTACCTGTATAGATATCATGGCACAGACGATGCTGAGGCCGGACTGACTGAAGAAGAACAAGCTGAAGATGCTGTACTCACACAGCAGCTGGCCCCCAGGTTACCCGCCCTTCATGTACATGGCGATGGTCACCTGGCTCACCAGCAAAGTGAACAACAGGTCGGTGGCAACCAGCCGCATAACTGTGTAGAAGGTGGTCTCCTTCTGCTCCTTGCGCGACTTGCACAGCACCACGATGGCCACCAGGTTGCCCACCACCCCGAAAATGGACGGTCCCAGGCTGTCCAGCAGATTGGGCTCCAGACCAAGGACACATTGGCCTGGGAAGGGGTTAACATGACAGTGGCTGGTGGTACGCAGCCCTGGAGTGCGAAGCTGAGTCTGGAGATGGCAGAAGAGAGACAAAGCCACCATGAGTGAAATGACCACCTGCAGGGCATTAGACCCGCGCCCAGGAAACGGGATGCTAACATGACAAGGGAGGAACTCAATCCCACTCTCTGGATTGCAACCACTTACCAACGGCAGCCACCCAAATCTCCAGGCTCCCTCTGCTCCTGCCAGCAGCACACCCTTGCTGATCTTAATATTTATAAACTGAGCCTCCCATTCCTCTTCCTCCCCCCAGCCTATCTCACTCCACTGACAAGACCCATCTCCAGGGAAAGGTAGCTCCCTAGTATTATTCCCGACAGATTCTGAGTTAATAAAATGCACATTGAAACCCTGGAAGACAATTTGGAAAGTGCTCTCTTTCCTCCTTGGCTCCCCTGGCAGCGCCCCATCTCCGCGCCCTTTGCCCGATGGCCCACATCCCATGTCACGTGTAGCGGCCCCAGTGGTGGGGCCTAAGACAATGAAACCTAAGACTAATTGGTGTACCTGAGGGAGAAGTGAATTCTAAAGGCTAGGAAAACATATTTGGGGGAATAATCAAGGAAAACTTCCGTGGCCTTGTGAGAGACCTAGACATCCAAATACAAGAAGCACAAATAACACCTGGGAAATTCATCACAAAAAGATCTTAGCCTAGGCACATTGTCATTGGGTTATCCAAAGTTAAGACAAAAGAAAGAATCTTAAGAGCTGTGAGACAGAAGCACTAGGTAACCTATAAAGGAAAACCTATCAAACTAACAGCAGATTTTGCAGCAGAAACCTTAAAAGCTAGATGGGATTGGGGCCCTTTCTTCAGCCTCCTCAAACAAAACAATTATCAGCCAAGAATTCTGTATCCAGCAAAACTAAACATCATATATGAAAGAAAGATACAGTCATTTTCAGACAAACAAATGCTGACAGAATTTGCCATTACCAAACCAGCACTGTAAGAACTGCTAAAAGGAGCTCTAAATCATGAAACAAACCCTGGAAACACATCAAAACAGAACTTCATTAAAGCATACATCACACAAGACCTATAAAACAAAAATACAAGTTAAAAAGCAAAAACAAAAAACAAAAACAAAGTACAGAGGCAACAGAGAGCATGATGAAAGCAATGGTACCTCACTTTTTAATACTAATGTTGGTTGTAAATGGCTTCAATGCTCCACTTACAAGATACAGAACCACAGAATGGATAATAACTCACCAACTAACTATCTGCTGCCTTCAGGAGACTCACCTAACACATAACGACCTACATAAACTTAAGGAAAGTGGTAGAAAAAAGCATTTCATGCAAATGGACACCAAAAGCGAGCAGCGGTAGCTATTCTCATATGAGACAAAACAAACTTTAAAGCAACAGTAGCTAAAAGAGACAAAGACAGACAGTATATAATGGTAAAGGTCTCATTCAACAGAAAAACATGACAATCCTAAACATACATGAACCTAACACTGGAGCTCCCAAATTTATAAAACAATCACTAGTAAACATAAGAAATAAGATAGACAGCAACACAATAATAGTGGGGGACTTCATTACTCCACTGACATTACTAGACAGGTCATCAAGACAGAAAGTCAACAAAGAAACACTGGATTTAAACTATACTTTGGAACAAATGGACTTAACAGATATATAAGAACATTTCATCCAACAACCACAGAATACACATTCCATGCAACAGCACATGGAATTTTTTCCAAGATAGACCATATGATAGGCCATAAAACAAGTCTCAATAAATTTAAGAAAATTGAAATTGTACCATGCACTGTCTCAGATCACAGTGGAATAAAACTGAAAATCAACTCCAAAAGGAATCTTCAAAACCATGCAAATACATGGAAATTAAATAACCTGCTCCTGAATGAGCACTGGGTGAAAAACAAAATCAAGATGGAAATGGAAAAAATTTCTTTGAACTGGATGACACAACCAATCAAGACCTCTGGGATACAGCAAAGGCAGTGCTAAGAGGAAAGTTTGTAGCCCTAAACACCTATGTCAAAAAGTATGAAAGAGCACAGACAGACAATCTAAGTTCACATCTCAGAGAACTGGAGAAGCAGGAACAAGCCAAACCCAATCCCAGCAAACAAAGGAAATAACCAAGATCAGAGCAGAACTAAATGAAATTGACACAGCAACAACAACAACAACAAATACAAAACATGAATAAAACAAAAAGTTGGTTATTTGAAAAGATAAACAAAATCGATAGACCATTATAAGATTAACCAAGAAAAGAAGAGAGGAAATCCAAATAACCTCACTAAGAAATGAAACAGGGGATATTACAACTGACACCACTGAAATATTAAAGATTATTCAAGGGTACTATGAACACCTTTTGGCACAAAAACTAGAAAACCCAGAAGAGTTGCATAAATTCCTGGAAAAATACAACCCTCCTAGCTTAAATCAGGAAGAAGTAGATACCCCAAGCAGACCAATAAAACAAGCAGCAAGATTGAAATGGTAATTTTAAAATTACCAACAAAAAAAGCCGAGGACCAGACAGATTCACAGCAGAATTCTACCAGACATTCAAAGAATATTTTCTTTCATTCAGAGAAGAAATGATACCAATCCTTTCACACTATTGCACAAGACAGAGAAAGAAGAAACACTCCCTTCTTTCTATGAAGCCAGCATCACCCTAATACCAAAACCATGAAAGGACATAACCAAAAAAGAAAACTACAGACCAATATCCATGATGAACACAGATGCCAAAATCCTTAACAAAATACTATCTAACTGAATCCAACAACATATCAAAAAGATAATCCACCATGATCAAGTGGGTTTCATACCAGTGACACAGGAATGGTTTAACATATGCAAGTCAATAAATGTGATACACCAAATAAACAGAATTTAAAAAAAAACTCACATGATTTTATCAACAGATGCAGAAAAAGCATTTGACAAAATCTAGCATTGCTTTATGATTAAAGCTCTCAGCAAAATAGGCATACAAGGGACATACCTTAATGTAATAAAAGCCATCTATGACAGACCCACAGCCAACATAATACTGAATGGGGAAAAGGTGAAAGCATTCCCTTTGAGAACTGGAACAAGACGAAGAGCCTACTCTAACCACTCCTTTTCAACATAGTACTGGAGGTCCTAGCCAGAGCAATCAGACAAAAGAAGGAAATAGAGGAAATCCAAATCGGTGAAGAGGAAGTCAAACTGTTACTGGTTGCTGACGATATGATCTTTCACCTTGAAAACCCTACGGACTCCTCTAGAAAGCTCCTAGAACTGATAAAAGAATTCAGCAAAGTTTCCAGATACGAGATTAATGTACACAAATCAGTAGCTCTTCTATACATCAACAGCTACCAAGCTGAGAATCACATCAAGAACTCAACCCCTTTTACAATAGCTGCAAAAAACAAACAAAAAAAAAAAAAACAAAACTTAGGAATATACCTAGCAAAGTAATCAAAAGACCTCTACAATGAAAATTACAAAACACTGCTGAAAGAAATCATAGATGGAGCCAAGCACGTTGGTGCATGCCTATAATCCCAGCTACTCGAGAAACTGAGGCAGGAGAATCGCTTGAACCCGGGAGGCAGAAGTTGTAGTGAGCTGAGATCACACCATTGCACTCCCACCTCAGCGACAAGAGCGAAACTACCTCTCAAAAAAAAAAAAAAAAAAAAAGAAAAGAAAGAAAAGAAATCATAGATGACACAAACAAATGGAAACACATCCCCATGCTCATGGATGGGTAGAACCAATATTGTGAAAATTACCATTCTGTTAAAGGCAATCTACGAATTCAGTGCAATCCCCATCTGAATACCACCATCATCCCTCACAGAATTACAAAAACAATTCTAAAATTAATATGGAACCAAAAGAGTGCCATGTAGCCAAACCAAGGGTAAGCAAAAAGAACAAGCCTGGACGCATCACACTACTTGATTTCAAACTGTACAATAAGGCCATAGTTACCAGAACAGCATGGTACTGGTTTAAAAATAGACACATAGACCAATGGAACAGAAGAGAGAACTCAGAAATTAACCCAAATACTTACAGCCAACTGATCTTTGACAAAGCAAACAAAAACATAAAGTGGGGAAAGGACACCCTTTTCAACACATGAAGTTGGGATAATTGGCGAGCCACATGTAGGGGAATAAAACTGGATTCTCATCTCTCACCTTATACAAAAATCTACTCAAGATGGATTAAGAACTTAAACCTAATTCCTGAACTGTAAAAATTCTAGAAGATAACACTGGATAAACCCTTCTAGACATTGGCATAGGCAAGGATTTCATGACCAAGAACCCAAATGCAAATGCAATAAAAACAAAGATAAATAGCTGGGACTTAATTAAACTAAAGAGCTTTTGCATGGCAAAGGGAACAGTCAGCAGAGTAAATAGACAAATCGCAGAGTGGGACCCCTGACCCTGACCCCTGACCCTGACCCCTAACCACTGACCCTGACCCCTAACCCCTGACACAAACCCTAACCACTATCCCTAACCCCAACCCTCACCCTAACCCAGCCCTAACCCCTAATCCCTAACCCCTAACATCTCTTAAACCCTAACTCTAAACGTTGACTCCTAACCCCTAACTCTGACCCCAATCCCTATCTCCAACCTCTAACCCTAAACTTAACCCCTAACCCCTAACCCTAACACCAACCTTAACCCTAGGTTCGTTACTAAGTTTGTATTGACTATGTCAATGTTGATTATTATGATGGCTGTCTTTGGACTGCACGGCAGCGAGGGGATTGCGGATCTTATATTAATATTTTTGTATTGAGGCAGCGCATTAGCATTACAGGTGCTTGTTACATGAGCAATGGGGGTGTCATACTTTGGGTGTCATGTCTGCATTAGGAATGCCGCATTTGTCTTCCGAGGCTGCAGTGTGGATCTCGCACTGCGGCCGCCTCGCCTTGGCTGAGGAGAACCTCGGTGGGCAGGATTCAGAGGGGCTTTTGGTTTCCCGTTTTCCACACTGAACCCTTCTAACTGGTCTCTGACCCTGATTATTCAGGGCTACAAACAGGAAGGATTTTATTCACCGTTGATGCGGCCCCGAGTTGTCCCAAAGCGAGGCAGTGCCCCCAAGGTCTGTGCTGACGAGAACGCTGCTCTGCCTTCGCGGTGTCCCCCGGGTGTGTGCTGAGCAGAACGCAGCTCCGCCCTCGCGGTACCCCCGGCCCGCCCGCCTGGGTCTGTGCTGAGGCAAACACTGCTCCGCCTTCGCTGTATCTCCGAAGTCTGTGCAGAGGAGAACTCAGCTCCGCCCTCGCGATGCTCTCCTGGTCTGTGCTGAGGAGAAGGCAGCTCTGCCCTAGCAAAGGCAGAGCGCCCTTCGCAAAGGCAGAGAGGCCCAGAGCGCCGGCGCAGGCGCGGAGGGGGCGCAGGCGCGGAGGGGGCCCAGGCGCGGAGAGGCGCAGAGCAGGGCAGGTGGCACCAACAGCGGGTCCCTCAGGCCTCGAGCGCACGCATTCCAGAGGCCACCCAGACCATGCTCCGCCGACTGGGCGCCCAAGCTGCAGTCGCCCTCTGTGTGCAGGCAGCAGCTGCCTGGCAACCCCCGAGCTCGCTCGCGCTGTCAGCATCGCAGAACCAGGGCCAGGTGTCCCAGTGGCATTCTGACCGGCGGCGGCGGCTGCACAGGAGCGAGAACTGAGAAGCCGCCGCTCAACCCCACACGGGGTGACTGCTGAGGGCCCATACCAACGGCCCCGATCTCCCTCAGGTGGAGGACTGGGCGGGAGGCACAGCCTGGGGGCCCTCAGGCTGGGCGCGCTGGCGATCCCGAGGCCGACCAGGCCATGCACCTCCAGCCCGCCTGGGCTCCCAAGCTGCAGCCGCCTTCTGTGTGCAGGCAGCAACCTCCAGGCAACTCCCCAGTCCGCCCTCACTTCCCACATCTCGGAACGAGGGCCAGATGTCCCTGTGGCTGCGGCCAAGCCAGGCAGTCTGCCCTGCAGCAGCTGCACGGGGGCGGGAACCGGCCCTCAGCCCTATCCCCCATGGCTGCAGAGGGCCCTTGGCTAGAGGTGTGGAGCTCTGGCATAGGAGGAGCCGGGCGGGGGCAGGGTCTGGCTTGACCAATTGGAATTACAATACACTTCACTCATCAACCACAGAACATATACTGGAGTATCATCTGCGTGCAGATGAGTATACTGCTCAAAGCGATTTACAGATTTAATGCTTTTCCTATCAAACTACTAATGTCATTTTGCACAAAATAGAAAACATCTAAAATTTATATGGAACCTAAAAGGAGTCTGAATAGCCAAGCCAAAGCAATACTAAGGCTAGAGACATAGGCTAGAGACATCATATTACATGACTTCAAACTATACTAGAAGACTATAGTAATCAAAACAACATGATACTGGTAGGAAAACAGACACATAGACCAATGGAACAGACTAGAGTACTAGAAACTAAGGCCACATGCCTGCAACCATCACATCTTTAACAAAGTTGACAAAAGTAAGCAATGGGAAAAAGACTTTATTTAATAAATAATGCGGGGATAACTGGCTAGTCATATGCAGAAGAATAAAACTAGACCCCCATATTCCACCAAATACAAAAATTAGCTTAAGATGGATTAAAGAGTTAAATGAAAAATCTCAAGCTATAAAACGCCTAGAAAAAACCTAGGAAATACTTTTCTTGATAACGGCCTTGGCAAATAATTTATGGCTAAGTCCTCAAAAGCAATTGCAACTAAAACAAAAAATGACAAGTGGGATTTAATTAAACTGAAAAACTTTTGCACAACAAGAGAAACTATCAAGGTAGTAAAGAGATAATCCACAGAATGAAAGAAAATATTCACAAACTACGCATCTAACAGAGGTCTATTATGCAGAACCTATAAGGAACTTAAACAAATCAACAAGCAAGCAGCAAGTAACTCCATTAAAAAGTGGGCAACAGGACATGAACGGACACTTTTCAAAAGAAGACATACACACAAGCACCCAACAAACATATGTAAAAGTGCTCATCGTCATTATTTATTAGAGAAATGCAAATCAAAACCGAAATGAAATACCATTTCACACCGGTCAGAATGGCTTTTTCTGAAAAGTCAAAAGAAAAACACATATCGGTGAAGATTTAGAGAATAGAGAACACTTATACACTTTCTGAAGGAATGTAAATTAGTTCAGCCACTGTGGAAAGCAGGTTGGGGATTTCTTAAAGAACTGAGAGTTGATCTACCATTCAATCCAGTAACCCCATTACTGGGTATATACCCGAAATAAAATAAATATTCTATCAAAAAGACACATGTAGCTATAGTTTTATCACAGCAGTATTCACAATCACAAAGACATAGGCTTAATCCAGACATCCATCAGTGGTGGTCTGGATAAAGACTCATGGAATACTATACAGCCAGAAAAAACTCAAAATTATGCCATTTGAGGCAACATGAATGCATTGTTTCCAGCAAACTAATGCAAAAGCAAAAAACAAAATACCGCATGTTCTCTTTCATAAGTGGGAGCTAAATGCTGGGTACACAGGGTCATAATACAGAGGGGTGGGAGGGGCCGGGACTGGTGGCTCACGCCCATAATCCCAACACTTTGAGAGGCCAAGGTGAGCGGATCACCCGAGGTCAGGAGTTTGAGACCAGCCTGGCCAACGTGGTGAAACCCCGCCTCTAATGAAAACACAAAAATTAACTGGGCATGGTGGCTGGCGCCTGTAATCCCAGCTACTCGGGGGTCTGAGGCGGAGAGTCGCTTGAACCCGGGGGGCGGAGGTTGTAGTGAGCCAAGATCGCGCCACATCACTCCAGCCTGGGCGACGGAGCAAAACTCTGTCTCAAAAACAAACAAACAAACAAAAAACAAAGAGGGAGGGGGGAGGGAATACAGATTGATTAAAACTACCGATTGGTTAGTGTCCTCTCTACTTTGCTAATGAATTCATTCATTTAATTCATAATTCATTCATTCAATTCATAATTCAGTTCCCCCTGAGAAAAAAATATTCACTTGTCATTAAAATCTCTCTGTATCTTACTGATTTCAGATAGAAGTTAAATTTCACCTTAATAATAGACACAAAAGAACTAGTTAAACTGACAAAAACTAATAAACATTTGCTCAAATTTACTGAGAGAGTCATGGATACTTCATATAATAGTGACATTCTACCAGTTTTAAGTAAAATAAATAAGGAAACAATCTTAACTCCATCGCCTACCGGAAGGGACGTGCCCCCGCTCCCAGTTGAGTGGGACCCTGCTCTCTGGGCGGGTTGCGCCGCGGTCTCTGGCACCTCTTGTTGGCAGCGTCGCAGTTGCAGGCACAGGGCAGGCATTGGGGGGCGGGCAGCGGGCCAGGCCCAGGCGACTCCTTTGCCAGGGGCTGGGCAGGTGTGGAGAGGGGCGGAGCTGTGCTGCCCTGGGCGAGGGAGCCTCCCGCTCTGGACGGTTCGCCGCCCCTGCCCCAGGAAGGCGCTGCAGGATCTGGGTGGGGAAGGGGAGGGACGAGGGAACACAGGCCAGGCCAGGTGGCCCCTTAGACCTGGGTGATGCAGGAGGGGCTGTGGGAGACCAGAGAGGACCCGAAGCAGAAACCGGGAACTGATACCTCTGGCTGAATATTTGTCCTCTTGCTGAAGTTTGAAAGTCAGTTATTTCATTAAAGTTTAATTTTATTATAAAAATAACAACTATTAAAAATTCCCTGTAGTCACTGGAATGATAAATTTTGGTGCAGTTTCAGCATAACACTCTAATTATTCAAATTGCGGCCATGTTTCAAAATATATGCCATATATTTTTATGGCATCCACCCCTGTGTCCCTGTGTCCCGCATTGGCCTCTGTGTCCCTGCTGGCTCAGGAAACGAGCTTCTTCCTCCTTCCACAGACTCGAATCAGGCCGTCATCCCTCCTGCGCCTGAGGCTGTCATGGGGACAGCCTGCCCTCGAATAGCCGGAGAACGCCCGGCCTGTGCCCTGTGCTCGGCCTGGTGTCCTGGCTCGTGCCCCTCAGGGCCCCGCACAAAGCAGTGTGACAGGTGTGGAAGGACCCAGCACCAGGCAGCGGTGAGCGGATGGATGCTCCAGGGATGTGGGGCTGCTGGCAGTCAAGAACCCATTGCCAAATTCCATGGCATAATTTTGGATATTTTTCCCTTATATTTTTGTGTAAGACTTTCAGACTTAAACATTTTGAGTTTTTAAAAAAATATAGTATAATCTACAATTCTGACTTCTATATTTTACATGTTGATAGCAAATCTTCATACCGTTTTTGTGTTAAAGGGGGCTATTATTCCCTCTCCATAGTTTGGCCTTTGCACCCTTGTTGAAGATCATTTTGACCATATATACAAGGTTTTGTGGAGAGAGGGGTCTCTATTATTTTCTATGTCTACACGTCTTGATTTAATACATTTCTTTTTAGATTTTCTCCTTTTTACTTTTTGAGACAGGTTCTCTGTCATCTAGGCTGGGGTGCACTGGTGCGACCATGGCTCACTGCAGCCTTGCTCTCCCAGGCTTAAAAAAATCCTCTCACTTCAGCCTCTGGAATAGCTGAGACTACAGGTTCATGTCACATTGCCAGGTTAATTTTAATTTTAATTTTTTTTTTTTTTTAGCGATGGATGTTCTCACTAGGATGTCCAGTGTGGTTTGAACTCCTGGGTTCAAGCAATCCTCCTACCTCAGCCTCACAAAGTGCTGAGGTTACACGTGTAAGCCATAGAACCTGGCCTCAAAATACCACATTTGAAAAGAGTTCAACAGCACTGCAATTAGTTTTTGATTTAAAAATTGTGAGGGCTCCACAATTGACATTATTTTACAAGTTTAATTGGCTATTTTAAATCTTGAGATTTCATATGTTTTAGAATTTTTTATTTCTGCAAGTAAATATTGTTATGATTTATAAAGCTATTGCATTTAATCTGTTGTTGATTTCATTAGTATAGACTTAAGAATATTGTTTTCTAATTTATGAATATGGGATATCTTTTCAATTGTCTAATCTATAAATATAGAATATCTTCTCCATTGTTTGTGACTTTTCTTCAGCAACATCTTGTAACTTCTAGTATACTAGTCTTACATCTCTTTGCTTGTTTATTCCAAAGTATATTCTTCTTAATGCTATTTTCAATGGAATTTTAAAAACTTGGATTGTACCGTGTAATGAAGAGAAATACACTTAATTTTGTATTCTGCAATTTTCCTAAATGCAACTATTAGTTCTAACAGGTATTGTTTTCAGTGTATAGGATTTTTTTGTATATAACATCATATCATAAGTAACAGGTAATTTTACTTCTTCCTTTAGAATGTGGATCTTTTCTTTTTTTCATTGCCTAGTTGTTTTGCCAGGACTTTCACTGCTATTTTTGAATAGATGTGGCAACCGTGAATATCTTGCCTTATTATTAATCTTAGAGGATAAACTTTCCACACTTCAGAATTCAGTATAATATTAGTGATGATTGTTTTTGTTTTTTTGTTTTTGTTGTTGTTTTTGTTTTTCTGAGATAGGATCTTGCTCTGTCAACCAGGCTGGAGTGCAGTGGCATGATCTGGGCTCACTGCAACCTCCACCTCCCGAGTTCAAGCTATTCTCATGCCTCAGCCTCCCTGGTAGCTGGGACTACAGGCACACACCACAACGTCAAGCTAATGTTAATATTTTTTGTAGAGACAGGGATTCGCCATGTTGGTCAGGCTGGTCTGGAACTCCTGACCTAAAATCATCCACCCACCTCAGCCACCCAAACTGCTTGGACTATAGGCATAAGCTGTTGAACCCAGTTGGTGATGAGTTATTTACATATCTTTTGCTATGTTAGTTTCCTTTTATTTCTAGTTTATTGTTTTTTTATCTTGAAAAGATGATTAATACTGTCAGTTGACTTTTCTGCATTATTTGAGATGATTGTGTGGTTTATATCTTTTACTCTGTTAATATGATATATTAAATTGATTGATTTAAACTCTCATTCCAATATGGCCAAATAGGAAGAGCTCTGGTCTGCAGCTCCTAGTGTGATCAATGCAAGATGGGTGATTTCTGCATTTCCAACTGAGCTACCTGATTCATCTCATTGGGACTGATTGGACAGTGAGTTCATCCCATGGAGGGTGAGCTGAAGCAGGGCAGGGCATCAACTCACCCAGGAAGTGCAAGGGGTTGGGGGATTTTCCTTTCCTAGCCAAGGGAAGGCATGACAGACTGTACCTGGAAAAACAGGACACTCTTGCCCAAATACTGCACTTTTCGCACAGTCTTAGCAACTGGCAGACCAGGAGATTCTCTCCTGTGCCTGATTCATTGGGTCCTACACCCATAGAGCCTTGCTTACTGCCAGTGCAGCGGTCTGAGATTAACCTTCATGCTGCAGCTGAGCAGATGGAGGTGAATCCACAATTTTTGAGGTTTGAGTAGGTAAACAAAGTGGCCAGGAAGCTTGAACAGGGTAGAGTCACTCACAGCTCAGCAAGGCCTACTGCCTTTATAAACTCCACCTCTGCGGGCAGGGCATAGCTGAATAAAAGGCAGCAGAAACTTCTGCAGACTTAAACCTCCCATCTGACAGCTCTGAAGAGAGCAGTGGTTCTCCTGGCATGGTGTTTGTGCTCTGAGAATGGACATACTGCCTCCTCAAATGGGTCCCTGAACCCCGTGTAGCCTAACTGGGAGACACCTCATAGTAAGGGCCAACAGACACCTCATACAGGTGGGAGACCCTCTTCAACGAAGCTTCCAGGGAAGGATCAAGCAGCAATATTTGCTGTTCTGCAGCCTTCTCTGTTGATACCCAGGCAAACAGGGTCTGGAGTGGACCTCCAGCAAACTCCAACAGACCTGCAGCTGAGGGACCTGACTGTTAGAAGGAAAACTAACAAACAGAAAGGAATAGCATCAACATAAACAAAAAGGACATCCACACCAAAACCCCATCTGTAAGTTACCAACATCAGATACCAAAGGTAGATAAAACCACAAAGATGGGAAGAAACCAGAGCAGAAAAGCTGAAAATCCTAAAAACCAGAGCACCTCTTTTCTTCCAAAGGATTGCAGCTCCTCACCAGCAATGGAACAAAGCTGGAGGGAGAGTGACTTTGACGAGTTGACAGAAGGAGGCTTCAGAAGGCTGGTAATAACAAACTTCTCCAAGCTAAAAGAGCATGTTTGAGCACATCGCAAGGAAGCTAAAAACCTTGAAAAAAGGTCAGACAATGGCTAACTAGAATAAACAGTGTAGAGAATACCTTAAATGACCTTATGGAGCTGATAACCATGGTACAAGAACTTTGTGACACATGCACAAGCTTCAATAGCTGACTCACTCCAGTGGAAGAAAGGATATCAGTGATCGAAGATCAAATTAATAAAATAAAGTGAGAAGACAAGTTTAGAGTAAAAAGAGTGAAAAGAAATGAACAAAGCCTCCAGGAAAAATGGGACTATGTGAAAAGACCAAATCTACGTTTGCTTGGTGTACCTAAATGTGACAGAGAGAATGGAACCAAGTTGGAAAACACTCCTTAGGATGTTATTCAGGAGAATTTTCCCAATGTAGCAAGGCAGGCCAGCATTCAAATTCAGGAAATACAGACAACACCACAAAGTTACTTCTGGATAAGAGCAACCCCAAGATACTAATTTTCAGATTCACCAGGGTTGAAATGAAGGAAAAAATGTTAAGGGCAGCCAGAGAGAAAGGTCGGGTTACCCACAAGGGGAAACCCATCAGACTAACAGCAGATCTCTCAACAGAAACCCTAGAAGCCAGAAGAGAGTGGGGGTCAATATTCAACATTCTTAAAGATAAGAATTTTCAGCCCAGAATTTCATATCCAGCTAAACTAAGCTTCATAAGTGAGGGAGAAATAAAATCCTTTACAGACAAGCAAATGCTGAGAGATTTTGAGACCACCTGGCCTGCCTTAAAAGATCTCTTGAAGGAAGCACTAAGCATGGAAAGGAACTACCGGTACCAGCCACTGCAAAAAATATGCCAAATTTTAAAGACCATCAATACTATGAAGAAGCTGCATCAATAAACAGGAAAAACAGTGAGCTAACATAACAATGACAGGATCAAGTTCACCATAACAGTATTGACCTTAAATGTAAATGGCCAACAAAGATCAAAAGACACAAAGAAGGCCATTACATAATGGTAAAAGGATCAATTCAGTAAGAAGCGCTAACTACCCTAAATATATATGCACTCAATACAGGAGCACCCAGATTCGTAAAGTAAGTCCTTAGATACCTACAAACAGACTTAGACTCCCACACAATAATAATGGGAGACTTTAACACTCCACTGTCAATATTAGACAGATCAACAAGACAGAAGGTTAACAAGGATATCCAGGACTTGAACTCAGCTCTGTGCCAAGTGGACCTAATAGAAATTTACAGAATTCTCCACCCCATATCACCAGAATAAACATTCTTCTCAGCACCACATCACACTTATTCTAAAATTGATCACATAATTGGAAGTAAGCACTCCTCATCAAAAGTAAAAGAACAGACATCACAACAAACTGTCTCTCAGATCACAGTGCAATCAAATTAGAACTTAGAATTAAGAAACTCACTCAAAATGGCACAAACACATGGAAACAGAACAATCTGCTCCTGAATGGCTACTGGGCAAATAACGAAATGAAGGCAAAAATAAAGATGTTCTCTGAAACCAGTGAGAACAAAGACAAAAAACACCAGAATCTCTGGGACACATCTAAAGCAGTGTGTAGAGGGAAATTTATAGCACTAAATGCCCACAAGAGAAAGGAGGAAAGATCTAAAATCGACAGCCCCACATCACAATTAAAAGAACTAGAGAAACAGGAGCAAACAAATTCAAAAACAAGCAAAAGGCAAGAAAGATCAGAGCAGAACTAAAGGAGATAGAGACACAAAAAAAACTTAAAAAATCAATGAATTTAGGAGCTGATTTTTTGAAAAGATCAACAAAATTGATAGACCACTAGCAAGACTAATAAAGAAGAAAAAAGACAAGAATCAAATAGACACAATAAAAAATGATAAATGGTATATCATCACTGATCCCACAGAAATACAAACTACCATCAGAGAATACTATAAACTCCTCTACACAAATAAACTAGAAAATCTAGAAGAAATGGATAAATTCCTGGACACATACACCCTCTCAAGATTAAACCAGGAAGAAGTTGAATCTCTGAATAGAACAATAACAGGCTCTGAACATTGAGGCAATAATTAATAGCATACCAACAAAAAAAAATCCAGGACCAGATGGATTCACAGCTGAATCCTACCAGAGGTACAAAAAGGAGCTGGTACCATTCCTTCTGAAACTATTCCAATCAATAGAAAAAGAGGAAATCCTCCCTAATTCATTTTATGGGACCAGTATCATCCTGATACCAAACCCTGGCAGAGACAAAACAAAAAAAGAGAATTTTAGACCAATATCCTTGATGAACATCGATGTGAAAATCCTCAATAAAATACTGGCAAATGGAATCCAGCAGCACATCAAAAAGCTTATCCACCACGATCAAGTAGTCTTCATCCCTGGAATGCAAGGCTGGTACAACATACACAAATTAATAAATGTAATCCATCATATAAACAGAATCAATGACAAAAACCACATGACTATCTCCATAGATATAGAAAAGGCCTTTGACAAAATTCAACAGTCTTTCCTGCTAAAAACTCTCAATAAACTACATATTGATGAAATGTATCTCAAAATAATAACAGCTATTTATGACAAACCCACAGCCAATATCATACTAAATCAGTAAAACTGGAACCATTCCCTTTCAAAACTGACACGAGACAAGAATGCCGTCTCTCACCTCTCCTATTCAAAATAGTGTTGGAAATCCTGGCCAGGGCAATCAGGCAAGAGAAAGAAACAAAGGTATTCAATTAGGAAGTCAAATTATCTCTGTTTGCAGATGACATGATTGTATATTTACAAAACCCCATCGTCTCAGCCCAAAATCTCCTTAAGCTGATAAGCAACTTTAGCAAAGTCTCAGGATAAGAAATCAATATGCAAAAATCACAAGAATTTCTATACACCAATAACAGACAAACAGAGAGCCAAATCATGAGTGAGCTCCCATTGAAAATTGTTACAAAGATAATAAAATACCTTGGAATACATCTTACAAGGGATGTGAAGGACCTCTTCAAGGAAAACTACAAATCACTGCTCAATGAAATAAAAGAGGACACAAACAAATGGAAGAAAATTCCATGCTCATGGATAGAAATAACCAATATTGTGAAAATGGTCATACTGCCCTAGGAAATTTACAGATTGAATGCCATCCCCATCAAGCTACAAATGACTTTCTTCACAGAATTAGAAAATACTACTTTAAAGTTCATATGGAACCAAAAAAGAGCCCATAACGCCAAGACAACCTAAGCAAAAAGAACAAAGTCGGAGGCATCACACTATCTGAATTCAATCTATACTACAAGGCTACAGTAACCAAACAGCATGGTACTGATATCAAAACAGATCTATAGACAAATGGAACAGAACAGAGGCCTCAGAAATAACACCACACATCTACAACCATCTGATCTTTGAAAAACCTGACAAAAACAAGCAATGGAGAAAGGATTCCCTATTTAATAAATGGTGCTGGGAAAACTGGCTAGCCATAGGTAGAAAGCTGAAACTGGATCCCTTCCTTACACCTTATACACAAATTAATTCAACAGGGATTAAAGACTTAAATGTTAGGCCTAAAACCATAAAAACCCTAGAAGAAATCCTAGGCTACATCATTCAGGTCATAGGCATGGACAAAGATTTCATGACTAAAATACCAAAAGCAATGGCAACAAAAGCCAGAATAGACAAATCAGATCTAATTAAATTAAAGCGCTTCTGCACAGTAAGGGAAACTACCAACAGCATGAATAGACAACCTACAGAATGGGAGAAAATTGTTGGCAATCTATCCATCTGACAAAGGGCTAATATCCAGAATCTACAAAAAACCAAAAAACTTAAACAAATTTACAAGAAAAAAACACCATCAAAAATTGGGCAAAGGATATGGACAGACACTTCTCAAAAGAAGACATCTATGCAGCCAACAGACACATGAGAAAAGCTCATCATCACTGGTCATCAGAGAAATGCAAATCAAAACCACAGTGAGATACAATCTCACGCCAGTTAGAATGGTGATTATTTGAAAGTCAGGAAACAACAGATGCTGGAGAGGATGTGGAAAAATAGGAAGGCTTTTACACTGTTGGTGGGATTGCAAATTAGTTCCACCATTGTGGAAGACAGTGTGGCCATTCCTCCAGGATCTAGAACTAGAAATACCATCTGACCCAGCAATTCCATTACTGGGCATATACCCAAAGGATTATAAATCATGCCACTATAAAGACACATGCACACGTATGTTTATTGCAGCACTATTCACAATAGCAAAGACTTGGAACCAACCCAAATGTCCATCAATGATAGAACTGATTAAGAAAATGCAGCACGTATACACCATGGAATAGTACACAGCCATAAAAACAGATGAGTTTTTGTCCTTTGCGGGGACTTGGATGAAGCCAGAAACCATCATTTTCAGCAAACTATCACAAGGACAGATAACCAAACACCACATGTTCTCACTCATAGGTGGGAATTTACCAATGAGAACACTTGGACACAAGGCAGGTAACATCACACAATGGGGCCTGTCAGGGGCTGGAGGGCTAGAGGAGAGATAGCAGTAGGAGAAATATCTAATGTAAATGATGAGTTGATGGGTGCAGCAAAACAACATGGCACATGTAAACCTATGTAAAAAACCTGCATGTTGTCCACATGTACCCTAGAAATTAAAGTATAATAAAAAACAAATAGATTGATTTACAAGTGCTGAACAATACTTTCATTGGAGAGATAACTCCTTCTTCGTCATCGTGTATAATCCTTGCAATATGTTATTGAATTTGGTGTTCTAATGTTCCGAGGAGAATTTTTACATCAATAGTCAACAGGAAAATTGATTTGTAGTTGTATTTTTTTTTCTCCTTAGTGTCTTTGTGGGGTTTGGTGTTGTGTTAATGCTGGGCTCATAAAATAAGTTGGAAATTGTTTTATCTTTTTCATTTTTCTGAAGTAGTTTAAGAAGGGTTGGTGTTAACCCTGCTTTAACATTTTGAAAAAAATATGTATTTAATGAAGTGATCCGGGCCTGGGCTTTTTGAGGGGAGGTTGTTGTTACTACTTATATGCCTATTCAGATTTTTTTATGGTTTATTTTTAGTATAATCTATATTTCTAGACATTTGTCTATTTCTCTTAGCTTATCATATTTTTGGCATATACTTGGAATTAAACTTTTATAGTCTCTTCTTTTCCTACTTTTGTGGCATCAGTAGTAATAGCTCCTCTTTTATTTATGAATTTAATTATTTGAGGTATCTTCTTTTTTCTTTTAATCTGTTTGTCGGTTTTCTTAATCTTTTCAATAAAACCAAACTTTAATTGATTTTTCCATGGCTTTTAATTGTTATTTATTTATAACTGCTGAAATTCTTATTCTTTACTGATGTGTGGTTACATTTCCTAGTTGATTTAGATAGATTTTTTTAAATGCACACATTTACTACTACAATTGAATACAAGCTTTAGATGCATTCAATTATTTTGTTATGCTTTGTCTCCAGTTATGTTGAAATTTTCACTGTGATTTCTTCCTTAACCCATAATGTTGTTTAGGAGCATGTTACTTGATTTTTATGTATTTGCAAATTTTTAAAATTTTCTTCTGGTATTCACTTCTAGTTCCATTCCATTTTAGTTGTAAATGATACTTCGTATGATTTTAATTTTCTTGAATTGATTTCTTTGTGGTCCGATTTGTGATATAGTCTCAAGAATGTTCCATGTGCGCACCAGAATCATGCGCATTCTGTTGTTGAGAAGACCGTTTCTAAAAGTCTGTTGGATTTGGTTGAATCACTCCTTGCTCAATCCTCTGTCTTCATTTGGTCTCCCAGGTTGTCCTCTCCATTATTAAAGTCTCCTATCATTTTGGTGGTGGTCTCTAATCCTCCCTTTATTTTTATTTATAATTTTGTTTTTTACACAGACGAAGTGTTGCTGTCTTGCCCAGGTTAGTCTCAACTCCTGGGCTCAAGCCATCCTCCTGCCTCTGCCCCCGCCAAGATGCAGGGATTACAAGCAGGCGTGAGCCACTGTACTCAGCCTATTTCTCCTTTTAATTCTGTCATTATTTGTGTTATGTGTTTGGAATAGTTGCTGATTCATGTGCATATTTTAATTATGATATCTTCTTGGAGATTTATTTTTATTATATAATGTCCTTGTTTGTCTTTATGACAGTTTTTTGCTTAAAGTCTAATCATCTAATGTAAATGTGACCCACTTTGTTCTATTTTGGTTGCTATTTAGGATGATTTGGTTACCATATAGAATATAATTTTCCATCCCTGCACTTTCATTCCATGTTTATCCTTAAATAAACATAATTTATTTGATTTTATATTTTTATTTTTATAAACAATTTATAAACAGAATTCATTTGATTTTATATTTTTATTTTTTCAGTGACCTTCTGTCTGTTATTGGAGAATTTAACATTGTTACATATAAGGTTATTATTTGCAGTTAAGGAGTTACTACTGCCATTTTGTTAATTGTATTGTGTTTCTTTTGTAGTTCTTTTGTTTATATATTTTATTTCTTGCTGTCTTCCTTTTTGTCTAATTAATTTTTGTACTAATATGTTTTTATTTCTTTTTCTTTTGTATACATTCTACATGTATTATCTTTGTGATTACTATACAGATGACATGAAACGTCTCAAAGTTATAACAAACTAGTTTAATCTGATGTTATCTCAGTAGCATATAAAAACTCCAGTCTTTTGCGTGACTGTCTTTCCCAACACACATGTGGTTCTTGATGTCACAAATTAGGCCTTTTTACATGATGTATTCTTTAACATACATATAAAATATTTTTGTATATTGGTGTCAAATTCTATAAGGGGATTGAAATTACTTACCAACATCACAATAATATAGGATGCTATATTTCTCTATATATTTGCTTTACAACAGAGCTTTATAGTATTCTATGGCTTTTTTGGTACTCTCATTTTTTAATCTCAAAGGACTTTCTAGCATTTCTTGAAGAACAAACCTAGCGGTCATAAACTCCTTCATAGTGGTCATAATAAAGGGTATTCAATTATGGAAAGAGGAAGTTAAATTGTCCCTATTTGCAGATGACATGATCGTATATCTAGAAAACCCCTTCGTCTCAGCCCAAAATCTCCTTAAACTGATAAGCAACTTCAGCAATGTCTCAGGATACAAAATCAATGTACAAAAATCACAAGCATTCTTGTACACCAACAACAGGCAAACAGAGAGCCAAATCATGAGTGAATTTCCATTCACAATTGCTTCAGAGACAATAAAATACCTAGGAATCCAACTTACAAGGGATGTGAAGGACCTCTTCAAGGAGAACTACAAATCACTGCTGAATGAAATAAAAGAGGATACAAACAAATGGAAGAACATTCCATGCTCATGGGTAGGAAGAATCAATATAATGAAAATGGCCATACTGCCCAAAGTAATTGATAGATTCAATGCCATCCCCATCAAGATACCAATGACTTTCTTCACAGAATTGGAAAAAACTACTTTAAAGTTCATATGGAACAAAAAAGGGCCCACATCGCCAAGTCAATCCTAAGCCAAAAGAACAAAGCTGGAGGCATCACACTACCTGACTTCAAACTATACTACAAGGCTACAGTAACCAAAACAGCATGTTACTGGTACCAAAACAGAGATATAGACCAATGGAACAGAACAGAGCCCTCAGAAATAATGCTGCATATCTACAACTATCTGATCTTTGACAAACCTGACAAAAACAAAAAATGGGGAAAGGATTCCCTACATAATAAATGATGCTGGGAAAACTGGCTAGCCATATGTAGAAAGCTGAAACTGGATCCCTTCCTTACACCTTATACACAAATTAATTCAAGATGGATTAAAGACTTAAATGTTAGACCTAAAACCATAAAAACCCTAGAAGAAAACCTAGGCAATACCATTCAGGACATAGGCATCAGCAAGGACTTCATGTCTAAAACACAAAAAGCAATGGCAACAAAAGCCAAAATTGACAAATGGGATCTAATTAAACTAAAGAGCTTCTGCACAGCAAAAGAAACTACCATCAGATTGAATAGGCAACCTACAGAATGGGGGAAAAATTTTCCAATCTACTCATCTGACAAAGGGCTAATATCCAGAATCTACAATGAACACAAACAAATTTACAAGAAAAACCCAAACAACCCCATCAAAAAGTGGGTGAAGGATATGAACAGACACTTCTCAAAAGAAGACATTTATGCAGCCAAAAGACATATGAAAAAATGTTCATCATCACTGGCCATCAGAGAAATGCAAATCAAAACCACAATGAGATACCATCTCATACCAGTTAGAATGATGATCACTAAAAAGTCAGGAAACAACAGGTGCTGGAGAGGATGTGGAGAAACAGGAACACTTTTACACTGTTGGTAGGACTGTAAACTAGTTCAACCATTGTGGAAGTCAGTGTGGCGATTCCTCAGGGATCTAGAACTAGAAATACCGTTTGACCCAGCCATCCCATTACTGGGTATATACCCAAAGGACTATAAATCATGCTGCTATAAAGACACATGCACACGTATGTTTATTGCAGCACTATTCACAATAGCAAAGACTGGGAAACAACACAAATGTCTGACAATGATAGACTGGATTAAGAAAATGTGACACATATACACCATGGAATACTATGCAGCCATAAAAAATGATGAGTTCATGTCCTTTGCAGGGACATGGAGGAAGCTGGAAACCATCACTGTCAGCAAACTAACACAAAGACAAAAAAACAAACACCCGCATGTTCTCACTTATAGGTGGGAATTGAACAATGAGAAGACGTGGACACAGGAAGGGGAACATCACACACCAGGGACGGTTGAGGGGTGGGGGGATGGGGGAGGGATAGCATTAGGAGATATACCTGATGCTAAATGACGAGTTAATGGGTGCAGCACACCAACATCTCACGTGTATACATATGTAACAAACCTGCACATTGTGCACATGTACTCTATAACTTAAGGTATAATAAAAAAAGAAACAAGCAAAACAACTAATAAAAACCCTATACTGCCATTCTTTTCAACTTTTTGTTGTTTCTCTTCATCCCCTATTTTACAGTCTATGTATTGGAAATAAATTTGTTGTAGTTATTATTTTTATTGGTTTATTGTTTACTCTATTTGAGATTTTTGCACCCCATAATTACCATATTGTAATATTCAGTGTTTTTCCATGTGCTATTGCTAGTGAGTTCTGTACCTTCAGATGATTTCTTATTGCTCACTAACTTGTTTTCTTTTAGGTTAAGATATCCCTTTAGCATTTCTTGTAGGACAGGTCTGGTGTTAATGAAATCCCTCAGTTTTTGTTTGTTGGAAAAAGTTCTTATTTTTCCGTCAAGTTTAAAGGACGTTTTTGCCAGATACATTATTCTAAAGTAAAAGTCTTTTTTTCCTTCAGTTTTTTAATATGTCATGCCAATCTCACAGCCTGTAAATTTTCCCCTGAAAAGTCTGCTGTCAGATGTATTGGAGTTCCGCTGAATGTTATTTGTTTCTCTTCTCTCGATGCTTTTAGAATCATTTCTTTATCCTTAACCTTTGGGAGTTCAGTTTAGTGCCTTGAGGTGGTCTTCTTTGGGTTAAGTCTGCTTTATGTTCTGTAACTTTCTGTTACTCGAATGTTGATATCAAATGTTGAGGAATTGTTTAATATTATTTAATATTATTTATTTAAATAAATGTTCAAGTCATCTCTTTTTCTACCTCCTCTTTAAGGCCAATGACTCTTAGATTTGCTATTTTGAGGCTATTTTTAAAATTCTATAGGCATGCTTTATTTTTTATTCCTTTTTGTCTCCTCTGACTTTGTATTTTTAAATAGTCTGGCTTCAAGTTCACTAAATCTATCTTCTCCTTGGTCAATTCTTTTAAGTAATTCCGATCCATTCTTCAGTATGACAATAGCATTTTAACCTCAGAATTTCTACTTTATTCTTTTTATTTCAATCTCATTGTTAAATTTATCTGATAGAATTTTGAATTCCTTCTCTGTGTTATATTGTACATTTCTTTGAATTACTTCAACCAGTTATTTTGGATTTCCTGTATGAAAGGTCACATATCTTTCTTTTTCCAGGATTTGTCCCTGGTACTTTATTTAGCTTGTTTGGTGAGGTCATGTTTTCCTGGATGGCCTTGATACTTGTAGATATTCATCTGTATCTGGGCATTGAAGAATTCAGTCTTTATTGTAGTCTTCACAGTCTGGGCTTGTTAGTGTCCATTATCTTTGGGAACACTTTTCAGGTATTCAAAGAAACTTGGGTCCCAAACCCAATAGCACAGTAGTTTATGCAAACACGTAGAGGTACTGCCTTGGTGGCCTTGGATTAATATCAAGAAAAATTGTTCTGATTTATCAAGTAGAGAAGCTTGTTCTCTTCCCTTGCTTTCTCTCAAATCAGCAGTCTCTCTTTCTGTGCTGAGACATGTGGAGCTGGGGTTGGGGCAACAGAAGAACTCCTGTGGCAACCACCACTGAGACTGTGCTGGTTCACACCTGAAGTAGGCACAGAACTTGGTCTCACCCAAAGCCCACTGCAACCACTACTTGGCTACCATATAAGTTTATTCAAAGCCCCAGGACTCTGTGATTAATAGTTGGCAATGCCAGCCAAGTTTGTGTCTCTGCCTATAGGGTTGCAAGTTCCCCTAGCCATGAGTGGGTCCACAGATGCTACCTGGGAGCCAGAGATTAAAGCTTAGAATCTTCAGAATTTAGCTGCTCTTCTATTTTATTGTAGCTAACCTGGCACTTAGGGAATAAGACAAAGTATTTTCTACTCTTCTTTACCCTCTCTGCAGGCAGAAGAGCTTCTTCTATGACTGCCAACACTACTGGCCCATGGGGGGTTTCCACCAAATCATCATCACTTTCTCACTTAAAGCCCAAGGACTCTTTAGTTAGCTTGTGATAAATTCTGCAATGCCTGGGACTCGACCTTTGGCCCAGGGCAAGTGCAGAAATGCTGACCAAGAAGACCCTAGGCCTGGACTCAGGGACTCTAAGAATCTGCTTGGTGATCTACCCCACTGTGGTTGAGCTGGTATACCAGGTGCAATGTAGAGTTCCCTTTACTTTCCCCCCTGCCTTTCTCAAACAGAAGTCTTTCACCATAGCTACCACAGCTAGAAATGTACTGGGTCACACCTGAACTTAGCACTTCTCAGAGCCCAATGCCCATGGTGTATTACCTGGTTGTCACTGTTTTTTTATTCTGGGTACAGGGGTTCTTTAGTCAGCAGGTGATGAATTCTGCCAGGTCTTTACTGACATGGCAGCACTGAGTTTGATGTAAAGTCCTCCAGTCACTGTGCTCTCCCTCTCCCAAATTCACAGGTTTCTGTGTGTTGTGTGGCTGCTGCTAGGTGGGGGGTGGGGGAGTGGTGTTGTGAGCACTCCCTTAGCTGCTGTGGCTGCTGTCTCTGTAGACCCCATACTCCCCACCCTCCACATTCCACTGGCTCTGAGCCCAGCTCGGAATATGACTTGCCTAATAATTGAAGTCCTTGTGGCCTAGACTGCCCCTTAAGTTCCTTAGAGTCCAATAGCACGTCAACTCATGATGGCAAGACTTGTAAAAACTCAAGCTCCCAACACTAGGATGGGAGGTTTTCCTCTTTCTAGGGCCAATACACATGCTCCCTCCATTGGCAGATGTCAGCTGTGTACAGTCTGGTTCTGCTTTTCACTGTGACAGGGTAGTGCTGAGTTTATTGCAAAGCCTCACAAACTATGCACTCCCTCTCCCAAACATACTATCTCTGCACGATGTAGCCACTACTGGTGGTTGAAAAAGAGGTGGCATCCATGCTTCTAGACCGCCTTTTATTTTTTTGTCTTCTCCAATGTCTGTTTCGGTGATATGAAGTTAATACCAGGTACTGTGATTGCTCACCCAATTTTTGGTCCCTTTGACAGTGCTTCTTGAATGTAGTTAGTTGTGAAAATTTGGTGTTTTTGTGTGGTGATGAGAATGTAGGCTTCTATTCTGCCCTCTTACTCTGTCTCTGCCTTAAATTTTTTAGATTCAGGGAGTATATTTGCAGGTTTATTACATGGATATATTGTGTGATGCTGAGCAATGTGGGATATTATTGATCCCATCACCAAGGTAGTGAGCATATATTGTGGGATATAATTGATCCCATCACCTAGGCAGTAAGCATAGCACCTATGGTTTTTCACCCCCTGCCCTCCTCCTTCCCTCATTCATCTGGTAGTTCTCAGTGTCTATTGTTGTCATCTTTATATTCATGAGTACCCCATGTTTAGATCCTACTTATAGGCAAGAATATATGGTATTTGGTTTTCTGTTCCTGTATTAATTTCCTTATGATAATGGCCTCCAGACGTATGCATGTTACTGCACAGGACATAATTGTATTCTTTTTAACGTGTGCATAGTGTTTTATGGTGTATATGTGGCACATATTTCTATCCAATTTATTGATTTACACATAAGTTAATTCCATGCCTTCCCTATTGTGAATAGCAATATGACGCATATACAAGTGCATGTGGGGTTTCTTTTTGTAGAATTCTTAATTTTCTTTTGGATATATACTCAGTAATGGAATTGCTGGTTGAATGGCACTTCTGTTTTAAATTCTTTGAAAAATCTCCAAACTGCTTTTCACAGTGGCTGAACTAATTTACATTCTCACCAACAGTGTATAAGCATTTCATTTTCTCTGAAGTCTAACCAGAATTTGTCATTTTTTTACTTTTTAATAGTAGCCATTCTGACAAATATGAGATGGTATCTCACATTGACTTGCATTTCTCTGATGATTAGTGATGTTGGACATTAGGAAAACAACCCCATTAAAACATTGACAAGGGACATAAGCAGACACTTCTCAAAAGAAGACGAGCCAGGCACAGTGGCTCACGCCTGTAATCCCAGCACTTTGGGAGGCCGGGGTGGGGGGATCACAGGGTCAGGAGATCGAGACCATCCTGGCTAACACGGTGAAACCCTGTCTCTACAAAAAATACAAAAAATTAGCCGGGCGTGGTGGTGGGCGCCTGTAGTCCCAGCTACTCGGGAGGCTGAGGCAGGAGAATGGCGTGAACCCAGGAGGCAGAGCTTGCAGTGAGCCAAGATTGCACCACTGCACTCCAGCCTGGGCGACAGAGCGAGACTCCGTCTCAAAAAAAAAAAAAAAAAAAAAAAAGATACAGAAGTGGGATTCTTATTCTATCACATTAAGCTGCCTTTCCTTTGCAAATACAAAATCAAACCATTCGAAAAATCACTTAGGGATTGACAGTATCTTTCCCCTTCCCTATCTCCTTTCCTCTTTTGTGATTTTTTTTTTTTCTGATCACTATGAATCCACTCCACAGAGTAACCTCCTTTCTTAATCTGTGTGAATTGTGGTGATGAGCTAGTCAGCTCTCTTAAAACCACTAACAAAAAAGTTTTAAATTTCCTAGTTAGTAATACATTTTTAGCATGCCACAAGATACTCTTAGAACAAGGACTTCTGGTCCAGGCATTATGGATTATGATGATTAGTTCTCTGGATTTCTATAAGCTTTGAAATTATGAGGTAAAAATCTAAAATAAGTCGGACTTCATGCTATTTATACATTTATTGGGTTTGTTAATTATTCCATAGGAAAACAGATGAAAGACTTTTGTAGAATTCAATTCTGCTTCACCATACTTAGGGCTACAAGAAGGCAATTATATTGATGTAATTGACAGACTGAATTAACCTCAGTCATCACATGTGATTTTTCTAGAGTTTTTTTTTAATGGTGCTGACATTCTCTTCAATATGTCCATGCTTAGCTTGGGTTTCTGGGGGAGAGATGAGTAGCTAGTACTACCCATCTAAAACATAATGTTCATTAGTTGGAATAATGGTGTGATATGATAGTCTTCTAGATGATGCCCTCGATTTCTTTCCTCCCTGCATGCACATGCTGCTGTTTACATTGACAGGCAGAGTCGAATCTCCCATTTCTTGAATCTGTGCTGGTCACAATGACTTGCTTTTCCAAAAGGATGGAGCAGAAGTCTTGTTCTAGGACCTCCAAGGCTAGGTCCTAAGAAGCTTTATAGTATTTGCCTGTGTGTCTTGGGACAAACTACCACGTTATGAGCACTCCAGGTAACATGGAGAGGTCAGATAGGCATCACACTCAGCAGCCAATATGCACTGCCAACCATGTAAGTGACCCGTCTAGACTCTTTAGCCTAATTGAGCTTTCAGGTGACTTCAGCAGCAGCCAAGCAACCGCAACTGCAAGAAAGACTCCAAAAGAGAACTTTTGTAGTGCCCATCAACCCACAAAACCATGAGAAATAACGTTATTAAAATTACTAAACAAATAATAACAATAAACAATATTAAACAATAAATAATTCCGTAAGTTTTGGAATGGCTTACTATTCAGCAAGAGATGGCTAGAAGAAATACTAAATATTGCACAATACTGAATAAGTATAAGTTTATTTGTATAATATACTTCTATATTTCAAAGCCATTGACATTTCTGGAAAGAGTGCAAAAGTGAGCACTGATTAAATGGTTCCCAAGAGAAGTTGTCTGTTGTGTCTCAATAGCATCATTTACCAATGGGAGCTGTATTTTGTTTTTGGAAAATATACATTTTAATGTTCATTTTGAAAAATATACTAACCATTGTTTAGAAAGGCATATGCTATTTTGAAAAAAATTTGAGCGAACCAGAGAAGTGTAAACTTTAAGGCTCTAATCATATTTATATGCTATTTAACCCATAAGTCCAAAGTCTGATGACAAATATGTTTATGTAATACTGATATTTGGATAAATAAGTTAAACTAACAGCTTTCTTTTTAAATGATAGGCTTATAATTGGTATGATGTTGAGATGGCTGCAGTGGATGGGCTCATCACCAGAATAAAATTTTCTCTTTAATACTTTTTTAGAACATTAAGTGAGAACCAGAGAGTCTAAAACTGGGTTACACAGCAGCAATAAAATCAGAGTGACACTTACTTTGCAGCAGCAGGACTGGAATTCTTGCTGTTGGGGTTGGTGGCAGCAAACTCAATTATGGGTGTCTCCTGCTTCATGCTTAGATGGTGTGTTGGAACATTTCCTGTTTAGAACTCTCTAACACTTCCTGACTAGAGCTGTTTAAAATAGAAACAAACTCCTCTGATTTTGAATTTAGCCTATTTATTGTTACAATTTGTTCATGTTTCTACTTTTTAGACTGTGGCTTTCTTGTAGACAGAAATTATATCTTATACCTCTTTTTCTTCAGCAGCAGTGTGCCTGGCACCTAGTTGAATTGTCAGGTTCGTTGAATGAGTAAAGCAAAATTATACTAGACTTAAACTATTAACTTTATCAATTCTACTCAGAAAATATATAGCTAAGTATGACGTATGAATCAATTTACTCACTTATTCAGCAAACTTTTTTAAGTGACTACAATATGTTATGAGCTAGGAATATGACAGTAAACAAATCTCACCTTGTCTCAAACTTCAGTGGATCCAGGAGTCTCTAGAAGTTTAATTCTTGCTCAATCAGCAATTCCTTTTCACTGAAGACTTGACAGGAAGGTTTGAGAAGGCAAGAGTGTGTGAACTCAGCAGATGTTTGTGATGCACCTACCTACTGTGTGCCAGAAGCTGTAGTGTCACAGGCTCTGCCTGTGTCTCCTAGGAAAGGTGAAAACTAAGGACAATATTTTACACAACAAATAATGGCAAGTATGCCATGTGATGGAGAGGGAAAGTGCTGGATCCCAAGAGTATAACAGGCACTGAGCCTAGCGTGGGGTCCAGGCGTCTCTGGCATGGTGCCCTCCTAGGTCCTGGTTGTCCCTCCTTGTTGCTTCTGCTGTCTTCTTCAGTTACTTCTGCTTCTCTGCATTTCCTCATTTTACGGTATGTGGGATGCAGTCATCTCTGAACAGGAGTAGGCAACTGTGCACCTGTTACGCCATGCTTGATGCTCTGCATTGATGTACACTGGGCCCAGGTTTCCCTGGTGGACTGCTTGGGCCGTTCTTGTCATCTGGCTCTGAAGTCTTTGCTCACAGAGGTGCGCTTGCCAGATGGGTAAGCCAGAGATCTGGGGTCCTCTGATGAGGCCACTCTCACCCTGCTTATATTCCCTGACATACATAACAGATGAAGCTCAGGTGGGCGATGCACCTCAGGCCACAGTGTGGACTGTTGTAACCAAGCGAGTTATAGAGGAACGCCACACTTTGAGACAAATTAAGGAGTCCTTTATTAGCCAGCAACCAAGAGGCATGTAATGCTCAAAATTCTCTTGGCCCCGAGGAAGGGGCTGGTTTTGTTTTTATGCCGTGGTCTAAATAGGGGAGGGGGGAGTTTAGCTGAAACAAGTTTTACAGAAGCAGAGCTGGCAAATAGTTAAAAAATTAATTGGTTACAATAACAGTTACAAAACAAATAAACAGTTCCAGGTGCAGGGGCTTAAACCATCACAAAGAGAGAAATGCAGGGGTTTTGCGTGACATTCACCGAGTGCGTACCCAGGAGCAGCTGGTGCAGCTTGCCTCAATATCTTATCAGTAAGTGCATTCCTGGACCTGCTTTGAGTTAGTTTACACTAGTTATGCAATTAAGGGTGGGAGGTAAAGGGGGATGCACGTGAAGAAACTAAAATGGAGTCTGTCCGGCTCTCTCTCTGCTAGGAGAGAGTCACTCAGGTTAAAACAAGGTAGGGTATCACAGGACCATGTACAATTCTTCAAACTCCAGCTTCAACTCTCTTTCTTATTGCTCTCTTAGGACAGTATATTTAGATCAGAGTAAATGAAAGTAATGTTATTAGGAGATAAGATTAAAATTGATCCCATTTGTAAAAAGGGAAGTAGATTATTTGTGAACTGTAATACTTTTTTTAGTGAAGAATCACCTTAAAACTTGGAACCTGGATACAAGATAATTCCTTCATTCTGTAAAAGTTTAGTAGCAAACTATATGCCAGGACTGTGCTAGGTACTAGGGATACATGGTTGAATATATAGTATAAGATGCCTTGGAGTGTCAGATAGTTTCATATAAATGGCTCATGCAGTATATAGACAGTGTGGTAAAAAGAGACTACTGAGATGCACAGAGAACAGACAATGAAGCGTCTTTGAATGGTAGATAAATGTGTTTGGGCTTTTCACTCAGGGCTGTTGAAGTTTTTGAAGGTCAGTGGTCTCAGAGTTTTGGTGTTTTCAAGCCCTGCTAAGCACTTTCTTTCTAGCTGATGATTGGCCACCATTACTGATCATCTATTGGCTCTGTCTGATTCAGCAATCCCACCACTGAGTATTTATGCAAAGGAAAAGAAATCAATGTATCAGAAAGATAACTGTACTTGTGTATTTGTTGCAACACTATTCACAGTAGCACAGACATAAAATCAAACTAAATGCCCATCAACAAATGATTGGAGAAAGAAAATGTAGAAAATATACACAATGAAATACTATTCAGGCATAAAAAACAATAGAATCATAACTTTTGCAGACACATGGATGGAACTGGAGGCCATTGTTGTAAGTGAAGCAAGCCAGACACAGAGTAAACATCGTATTTTATCACTCATAAGCGGGTGCTAAAAGATGTGTAGATATTGACATAGAGAGTGGAATGATAATGGAGACTCAGCAGGGTGAGGGGATGGAAGGGGTGAACAGTGAGAAATTACTTACTGGGTACAATGTGCATTATTCTGGTGATGGATACTTAAAAGCCCTGACTTCACCACTATGCCATCCATACTTACAGCAAAATTACACTTGGAACCCATAAATTTATACACAAAAAGTCTTAGACCTCTCTCTCTTCTCTCATAAGACTCAGAGCTCAGTGATCCCCTTGGATCTCCTCAGCCTGCTGAGTTTCTATTTTCCTACCTAAGGTGATTTTGGGCAGAGACAAGGGAGTGTTTCTGGAAGATGTTCTCAGGCACACGCTTCTAAAGAAACATTGGAGACTCTTCTAGTGGCCTTTATCTAGTCACTGCTTTAAGCAAGGAATAAAATATCTGTGGCTAAAATTTGTAAAACTGTGTTTCCCACCCACCCTTCAGACCTGACAGAAGAGATTTTAGGATTTTAAGGGAACAGCTTTTTCCTGACCTAAAAGCGCACAGTAGTGCAAAGGCCAATGTCACGTAAGTACCTGTTCCCCATCTGTAAAATAACTTTCAGATACTATTCCCACAGCTGGAATCAGTACAATGTTTTGACTGAGGTATTGGAAAAGCCTATGAGCTCATTATCATTTGAACATATGAGTAATGTAAAATTTAGGCAGAATTTTATTTGAAAGGATTATTTATGCAATTTTTAATTAACTGATTTATATTGCGGTTATTTCAAACAATAAAAATCAGGTCATTGTGTTGTAAGCTAGAAATATTTACAATAACACATGGTCTTGATTATCTCACATGATGAAGACTAAAGCAAAATAATTTATCTTAGGGAATTCTGTGACAGTTTCTCTTTCACTTTGCTTTAATAATGACTTCAAACTGTTGTACATATATAGAGAACTCCTGACTAAAGAGAATATTTTGTCTATTGTGCTGTGTTTCTGTAACTTTTTAAGATCTAGAGGAACATATATTTAGTCTCGGTTGGCCAACTAAATGTTATGGAGTCAGCTTCTGTGTTATGTGCTGAGCATTGAAGGAATGGTGGAGACAGGGCTGCTGCCCTCACAGAGTCTGCGGAGAAAACCTGATGGAGTGTGGCAGGGAACATGCTGAGAGCATCCCAGGATGCCAAAAGTGCACACAGATGGAACACCTGCCTTAGAACAAGGGTGGGTCAGACAAGGAGAGGTGTCAGGAAAAGCAAGGAAAGTTT
This sequence comes from Homo sapiens, assembly GCF_000001405.40. Classification (NCBI taxonomy): domain Eukaryota; kingdom Metazoa; phylum Chordata; class Mammalia; order Primates; family Hominidae; genus Homo; species Homo sapiens. The sequence continues at coordinate 63,807,416 of NC_000009.12, forward strand.
AAAATGCAGGAATAGAAACGCACTTGAGAAATCCATGGGGAATGAAAAGAGAATGGCTGAGCAGCAGCAGATTGTCAAAAAGGAAATCAAGAAGGAGCAGCCAAAGAGGTTGATGGAGAACCAGGAGAAAGAAGGTGACACTGAAGCCAAGGGAATGAAAGCGTTTCAGCATTTCTGGGAAAAAATGACATGCTCTGTCTTAACCTTGCTGTTTTATGAGTCATATAGCCACATTCCAGGTTCTGAGAAGTCCAGCAGTAAAGATGTTTCTTTTAGTTTGCTTAACCCAGCATTTGCCAGAATAATCTGGGCTTAGTGTGAGTGTGTGTGCATGTGTGTGCCTGTGTGTTCTACTAATACCTCACTGAGGCTAGTGCTCTATACAACATAATTTTTAAAACACTGGTTTTATCCATCTTTTTGTTCAGCTGCAGCAACACTTACAAAGGTCAACTTTGATCATGTGTCTTCGTTACTAAAGGAAACAAAACAAACTAATGAATAAAGCCCACCTGGCAGTGTCTCCTCACTACCTGTACGATGGAGCCCACCTGGCTTGGCCTGGGTGCCCTGTGCTGACCTGGCCATGCTGTCTTCTGCCTGCTGCTTTGCCTCCTCTTTCCTCCTGGAGAAGGTAGAGATGCTCTGAGCTTTGGCTCGTCTGGAACATGTGTCCTTCCCCTCATGTGGCCCATGTTTTCCTGAGTCCACTTTAATCTCATTTAAGGGTATAGAACTTTCCTTAAAGCTTTTGGTCAGGTCTCACTCTCTATGCTGTCTTTCTACCACTTCTACAATGTACATACTTTACTGATACATTAATTATGCTATACCAGCCCAGGTTTTTACTTCTATATCATTTTATATCATCATCTTTTTTTCTTAGAGCTTAGTTCACTTATTTATTCAGTCTTTCCACAATATAATTGTATGTCATATAATTTCATATTGATTTTCATTGGTGTTTATATATCTTTTCTGCAAAAATGGAGGCTTTCTAAATAGATCTTCATTAATGTTGAAAGAACAAGGTTTTAAGTCTTGGTCTCAGCCAAAAGGAGTTCCCCGCATTACCAGGAGGGAAAGAAACACTTGCATTGTTGCATTAGATATTCTTACAGAGAAAGAGAACCACGTGTAATGGAAAATTGCTAACTTGGCCTCAGGGAGTCCAGGTTGATTCACTGAGAAAGTTTGAATTGGTTTAGAAAGCATAGTTCTGAGTTTTCTAGAAGACCAAAATTTAGAGTAGGGCATAAGAAGTAATGCCCATATCAAAAAATTAGAAATATCTCAAATTAACAACCTAACATCACAACTGAAAGAATTAGAGAAGCAAGGAGAACTCAACCACAAAGCTTATAGAAGACAAGAAATAACTAAAATCAGAGCTGAATTGAAAGAAATTGAGACATGAAAAACTGTTCAAAAGATCACTTAATCAAGGTTTTTTGAAAAAATTACTAAGATAGGGCACTAGCTAGATTAATAAAGAAGATGAAAGAAGATTCAAATAAAGAAAATTAGAAATGATGAAGGGAATGTTACCACTGACCCCAGAGAAATAAAAATAACAACCAGTAACTACTACGATCACCTCTATACACACAAACTAGAAACCCTAGAAGAGATTAATAAATTCCTGGACACATATACTCTCTCGAGACTGAACCAGGAAGAAATTCAGTCTCTGAGCAGACCAATTATAAGCTCCAAAAATTGAATCCGTAATAAATAGCCTACCAACCCCCCAAAAAGCCCAGGACCTGATAGATTAACAAATTTTAACAGATGTACAAAGAAGAGCCAGTACCAGTCCTACTGAAACTATTTCAAGAAATAGAGGAGGAGGGACTCTTCCCCAACTTGTTCTATGAGGCCAGAATCATCCTGATACCAAAGCCTGGCAGTGACACAACAAAAAAAGAAAACTTCAGGCCAGTATCCTTGATGAACATCCATTCAATAATCCACAACAAAATACTTGCAAACTGAATCTAGCAACACATCAAAAGGCTAATTCACCATAGTGAAGTAAGCTTCTTCCCTGGAATGGAAGGGTGGTCCATCATGGGCAAATCAATAAAATGTGATTCATAACATAAATAAAACTAAAGATAAGAACCACATGATTGTCTCAACAGATGCAGAAAAGACTTTCAGTAAAATTCAACAAAGCTTCATGTTAAAAATTCTCAATAAATGAGGTATCAAAGGAACATACCTCAAAATAATAAAGGTCACCTATGACAAACTCACAGCCAACATTATACTAAATGGGCAAAATCTAGAAGCATCCTCCTTGAAACCCGCACAAGACAGGGATGCCCTCTCTCACCACTCCTATTCAACATAGTATTAGAAGTCCTTTCTGGAGCAACCAGACAAGAGAAAGAAATAAAGCGTATTTAAATAGAAAGAGAAGTCAAACTACCTCTGTTTGCAGACAACATAATTCTGTATCTAAACCCTATAGTTGTGACCCAAAACTCCTTAAGCTGATAAAAAACTTCCACAAAGTTTCAGGACACAAAATCAATGTACGAAATTTGCTAGCATCCCTATACACCAAGAAGAGCCAAGCTAAGAGCCAAATCAGAGAGGCAATTTTATTCACAATTTCCACGAAAAGAATAAAGTACATAGGAATACAGCTAACCAGGGAGGTGAAAAATCTCTACAATGAAAATTACAAAACACTGCTCAAAGAAGTCAGAGAAGACACAAATAAATGAAAAATCATTCCATGTTAATGGAGAGAAAGAATTAATATCATTTAAATTGTTGTACTGTCCAAAGCTATTCCTATTAAACTACCAATGACATGCTTCACAGAAGTAGAAAAAAGCTATTTAAAAATTCATATAGAACCAAGAAAGAACCTAAGTAGCCAAGGCAATCCTAAGCAAAAAGAACAAAGCTTGAGGCATCACATTACCCGACTTCAAACTAACCTACAGCACCATAGTAACCAAAACAGCATGGTACTAGCACAAAAACAGACACATACACCAGTGGAACAGAATAGAGAGGTTAGAAGTAAGACCACATACCTACAACTATGTAATCTTTGACAAAGGTGGCAAAAACAATCAATGGGGAAAAGATTCCCTATTCAATAAATGGTGCTGGGATAACTGGCTAGCCATATGCAGAAGATTGAAGTTGGACTTCTTCCTTATACCATATACAAAAATCAACTCAAGATGGACTAAATACTTAAATGTAAAACCCAAAACTATAAAAGCTCTGGAAGACAACCTAGACAATACCATCCTGGACATAGAAAGAGGCAAAGATTTCATGATAAAGACACCAAAAATAACAAATACAACTATTGACAAGTGGGATCTCATTAAACTTAAAAGCTTCTGCTCAGCAAAAGAAATCATCAATAGAGTGAACAGACAACCTATAGAATGAGGAAAAAATATTTACAAAGTATGTATCTGACAAAGATCTAATATTCAATATAAGGAACTTAAATTTACAAGAGAAAAACAAAAAACCCTATTAAAAAGTGGCCAAAGCCCTGACTTCTGAATAGCACTTCTGGACCCAGCCAGGGACTGAGGGATCTCACTGCCCTAAAGGAAAGAACACAGGCCTGTCTGGCTTTGCCACCTGCTAATTGTAGAGACCAAAGGCCTTGAGTGAACATAGGGAGTCGTCAGAAAGTGCATGCAGCAGGACTTGAGCAAGACCCGTGCTGTGCTAGCTTCAGGTCTGATCCAGGGCAGTCATAGTGGTGGTGGCCTGAGGTGCTTGTGTCTTTCTTCTCCCAGCTTTAGGTGGCTTAGAACAGAGAGAAAGACTGTATCTTTGAGAGAAAATAAGGGTAGGGAAAGAGTCTGTAGCTAGTAATCCAGAAAATTCTCCTGGGTCTTGTTGAAGGCTGTCAAGGTGGTACTTCTCTGAGTCTGGAAGAATTACAGCATTATTGGGTATAAGGTGCTCCATAAAGCAGATATGGCTTAGATCACAACACCCAACTCTTTTCAAATATGTGAAAAGCCTTCCCAAGAAAGACAGCTACAAATAATCCCAGACAGTGAAGACTACAATAAATACTCACCTTTTCTCTCTTTAAATTTTATTTTTTAAACCTCTCATATGGTGTTGCATGCCCAAGATTTTAATGTCCAGACACTGAAGAACATCTACTAGCATCAACTCCATCCAGGAAAACATGACCTCACCAAGTGAACTAAATAAGGCACTGGGGACAAATCCTGGAGAAAAAGAGATATGTGATGTTTCAGACAGAGAATTCAAAATAGCTGTATTTAAAAAAAAACTGAAAGAAATTTAAGATAACAAAGTAAGGAAATTCCAAATTTTATCAGCTAAACTCAACAAATAGATTGAAATAGTTACAGTAAATTAAGCAGAAATTCTGAGCTGAAAAATGCAATTGGCATGCTGAAGAATGCATTAGAGCCATGTAATAGCAGAATGGATCAAGCAGAAGAAATAGTGAGCTTGAAGACAGGCTCTTTGAAAATACATAGAAGAGACAAAAGAAAAAGAATAAAAACAACAAATCATGCCGACAGGATCTAGAAAATAGCCTCACAAAGACAGATCTAAGAGTTATTTGTTTTAAAGAAGATGTAAAGAAAGAGGCAGGGGAGGATCTAGAAAATAGCCTCACAAAGACAGATCTAAGAGTTATTGGTTTTAAAGAAGATGTAGAGAAAGAGGCAGGGGTAGAAAAATTTATTCAAAGGGATAATAACAGAGAACTTTCCAAACCTAGAGAAAGACAGCCATATCCAACTACAAAAATGTTATAGAACATTAAGCAGATTTAACCCAAAAAAGACTACTTCAAAGCATTCAATAGTCTTCCAAAAGTCAAAGATAAAAGTTCTTAAGGAAGAAAGAGAAAAGAAACAAATAACCTACTGGGGAGCTCCAACACGTCTGGCAGCAGACTTTACAGTGGAAACTCTACTGGCCAGGACAGAGAAGCAATAAATATTTAAAGTACTAAAGGAAAGAAACTTTTACCTTAGAATAGAATGTACAGTGAAAATGTTCTTCAAAAAAAAGAAGAAATACTGACTTTTTCAGACAAACAAAAGCTGAAGTATTTTATGAATACCATACCTGTCCTAAAGGAATGCTAAAGGGAGTACTTCAGTCAGGAAGAAAAGGACATTAATGAGTAATAAATGATCACCTAAAGGTAAAAAAAAATCCTCACTGCTAATAGGATACAAAACAAAACAGAATATTATAACACTATAGCTGTGTGGTGTGCAAACTACTCTTATTTAAAGTAGGAATACTAAATAATATCCAATCAAAAGTAATAGCTACAACAACATTTCAAGACATAGCACAATAAAATATAAATAGAAACAACAAAAAGTTAAAAAGTTAAGGGATGAACACGACCCGTCCTGAGCCGGCAGATGTGGTGGAAGCCCCGGAGCTCCGGAGCTCCCGGAAGGACTGGAGCGTGGGCGGAAAGGAGGCCGCCCCTAGAGCCGGAAGCCTGCGCAGGGGACAGAGGCCTCCGGCGCCCCCCAGCAACAGCAGGGTGGTGCCATATTGGTCCTGAGCCAGGCCTAGCCACCGGTGACGGCGGGACTCTCTGGGAGGCCGGCGGTCCTCGGGTGTAGAGGGAGACAGCTGCCCGGGGGCACGGGCGAGCACCTCTGGGGGTCCCGGATCCTAGACCCGCGGCCCCGGGGTGGCGGTGACGCCTGGAGTCGTGCGGGCTTGGCTGGGCCGGGCTCTTGGGGCAGCCAGGTGCCGCTGCTGGCGTCTAGGCCACACCACCCTGAACGCGCCGGCTCGCCTCTGATCTGTTGAAGCTAAGCAGGGTCGGGACTGTTTAGTACTTGGATGGGATTCCGCCTGGTAATAGCGGTACCGTAGGCTTTTGGCTTCCCGCTCCCTCCCTCTTTCCTCCTTTTGTCTCCGTGCTTCCCAACTGCCCCCCGCCTCTGCTCCCGGTTGACCGCCCCCGCGCCCCAGCAGAAGCCCAGGTCCTCCTCCTGAAGATCCGCCACTGCAGCACCGCCAGGCAGCAGCATCCCACCTCTTCCGACTCGCGGCAGCCCCACCCAACCCGGGCGGGACGGGACCAACCCCGAGGGTGCAGGCGCGGGTTCCCTGAGGTCCCGGGTGTCTTCACGCTCCCCGGACTCCCAGGCAATTGTATTCATTCATTCAGCGTCACTGCAACCGTCCAAGCCGGTGGAAGGGGCGAGCAGGGGCAGCGGGTGCCACAGACCCCAGCCAAGACCTCCGCTCCAGAACCCGAGGGCTGCTTTCCCCAGAGGAAGGACATTTTCTTCGCCAGCCACGAGGAAAACCGTCCCTGTGCACCCTGTTTCCCAATGCCACCGACTTCGTGTAAACTCCAGTCCGGAGGACAGGAGAGAGACCCAGGCCTCGCCCCGTGGACAGGCTCGGCGCCACGGCTCCCGCCAGACACAGGAGCACACTCTACAAATCTCGGGGCCCATCGCATCAAGGAGACAGAAAGAAGCAAACGAAGGACCTTATGAAACACACCCCCAAAGCAACCAACCAATCCAAGAAAAAAAAACACGTCTCAGGGCTCCATTGGTTTTCCTGGCTGGGGGGCCCTGACCCCCTGTTCTAGCCCGGCCCAAGAACCCTGCACCCCACCCCGGCCTGCTGAAAGGTGCCCTGTCTACCTGAGCAGAGCCTCCCTCTCCAAGGCTCTGTCGCTGTCGCTCCACAACTCCCTCACCCTCTCCCTTTCTCTACTTCCCCCTCCACCTCGTGCTCTACTGTGGTGCTCTCTCTTCCCCCCTCTCTCTCTCCTCCCCCCTTTTCTATCTCTCTCTCTCTCTCTATCGCTGTCTCTCTCTCTCCCTCTGGTTCTATTTCTCCATCCCTCTCTCCTTTGCTTTCCTTCTGTAGCAGGAGGAGCTGCAGACAAAACCCCTCAGACACCGAGTTGTAGAAGGAAGGGCTTTATTCAGCTGGGAGCATCAGCAGACTCACGTCTCCAAAAACTGAGCTCTCCTAGTGAGCAATTCCTGTCCCTCTTAAGGGCTTACAACTCTAAGGGGGTCCGCGTGAGAGGGTCGTGATGGATTGAGGAAGCAGAGGGTACGTGACTGGGGGCTGCATGCACAGGTAATTAGATCAGAATAAAACAGGACAGGGATTTTCACAGTGCTTTTCTATACAATGTCTGTAATCTATAGATAACATAACCGAGTAGGTCAGGGGTCGATCTTTAACTACCAGGCCCAGGGTGTGGTGCGGGGCTGTCTGCTTGTGGATTTCATTTCTGCCTTTTAGATTTTACTTCTTCTTTCTTTGGAGGCAGAAATTGGGCATAAGACAATATGAGGGGTGGTCTCCCTTCAAGCTATCTGCGTCTGTCTTTGTGTGTCCGTGTGTGTGTGCCCGGGTGTGGTGTGTGTGTGTGTGTGTCTGCCCGCGTGCACCCGTGTGTATCCGTGTGTGTGTCAGGGTGGGTTTGCTCGTGGTAGTGGTGGGGTGTGTCTGGGTGTCCGTCAGCCCCTCTTTCTCAGGATGAGGCTGCCGGGGCTCTAGTGCCAGGGCGGGGCAAAGCAGAGCCTTCTTGCCCCTTTGGCCATGGCGGGTCCCCGTCAGAACAAGCGACGATGGTGTGAGCATTGTGAGAAAAAGGGCCCGTGGGGCTGGGCCGGCCGTTCGCCCCTGGGCAGCCCTGGCGGCTCTGGGTGTGTGGGGCAAGAGGGGGCCTTGCAGGAGGGGCGGCGAGGAATCCAAAATAATTTTTCCGCGGCAAGGCGGAGGACCGGAGGGGACCCCAGGACCGCGGGCCCTGGGCCCTGACGCCTCGGAGCACACCCCGTCCTAAGCGGGCCCCAGGTGTTGGAAGCTCGGGAGCTCAAGAGCCTGGGGAAGGCCTGGAGTCTCAGCGAGAGGGTGGCCGCCTGGAGAGTCCAGAGCCCTGGCAGGGGATGGAGGCCTCTGGCGCCTGGGCTGTCTCGCGCATGGTCTGGCCGCCGGCGACATCGGGACGCTCTGGGAGGTCGGCGAAAAGCGCAGCGTGGCGATGGTGGTGCTTGGGCGTAGAGGGGGAGAGCAGCCGGGCCACAGGCAAGCGGCTCCGGGGTGCCTGATCCCAGCCTCGCGCTCCCGGGTTGGTGGTGACGCCTGGAATCAGGCAGGCGTAGCTGGACTGGGCTCTTGGGCCAGCCAGGCGCCACTGCCATTGTCTACGGCCATACCACCTGGAAAACGAGAGAGACCCAAGCTGCGGCCCGTGGGCACGTTCAGCGCCACTGCTTCTGCCACAGTGAGGGGCGCACTCTACAACTTTCAGGGCCCACAGCACCAAGAGGACAGGGAGGAGCCAACAAAGGAATGACGCTACGAAAAGCACCCCCAAAGCAACCAACAAATCCAAGTAAAAACATGTCTCAGGGCTCCGTTGGTTTTCCCGAGTGGGAGGCCCTGCCCCCCTGTTCCAGCCCAGCCCAGGCACCCTCCACCCTACCCTGGCCAAAGGGGCCCCTGTCTACCAGATAGAGCCTCCCTCTCCAAGGCTCTGTTGCTCTCCCTCTCAAGCTCCCTCACCCTTTCCCTTTCCCTACTTCCCTCTCCACCTTGCTCTCTCTCTCTCTCTCTCAATCTCCCTGGTTCCTCTCTGTGTCTCTCTCCATCGCTGTTTCTCTCCTTCCGTTTCTATCTCTCATCCCTCTGTCCCTTGCTCTCCTTCAAGCTGTCTGTCTTTGTGTGTCTGTGTGTGTGCTTGTGTTCCCGCGTGTGCGCCCGTGTGTGTCTGTGTGTTTGGGAGTCGGTTTGCTAGTGACTGTGGTGGGGTGTGTCTGGATGTCCATCAGTACCTTTGTCCCAGGATCAGGCTGCCAACTCTATTGCCAACGCCTGGGTGTCACAGTTGCCGTGATAGTCTCACACACGCAGGTGTGTTCATCTCGTTCATTTTCACGTAGACAACGAGAGCGAAACCACAGAGAAAAGAAACATCCCGTGCATCACGGCCTGACAATGGATTCCTGTTTCCTGTACAATGTGGAGTCTCCAATATAGCCTGTTTGAAAACTGGAAAGGAGAGCACCGACACGATGCTGGTCTTCCACGCATTCCTGGAAGTTTCTGGGGCCCCACAGAGCTCGCGAAACAAACAGTCAACATGGTCACGCTTTCGGGGGGCAGAAACTTGAGCAACAGGCACCTTTACAGAGGGCAAAGAAACGTGGAATCCAGAATCACGCTTCAGTTGGCCTGGGTGTGACTCCTGTGTGGATGGGACTATCTGCCTCGAGCTCTGTTGCAGGGCTCAACGTGGGGATATGTCATCTGTGAACCATGTGGATGAAAAACAGACAACTACCTGAGTCTCGGCTCATTGCTCTCTGGGGAATTCGCTCATTCCTTCGGAAACGGAATTGGTCTGAATTGCTCCGGGATGAAGTAACCCAGGCTGGTGATCCAGAGGGCCGCTGAGCGCCCCGCCGGCCAACGGGGCTGTGGGCCCAGCACTCAGCCTGTACTGGGCACCCAACATATTCCCGGAGTTCTGGGTCCTGTTGGTTCTGGAGGCATAAGACATTTTTTGTCTCTGCCTTCTGTTCTCTGTTTCTTGCTCCTTTTGTCTCTCCGTCCATCCTTCCATCTGTTCTACCCTCCCTCCCCTGGCTTTTTCCTCCCTTTCTCCCTCCCTCCCTCTTTCTCTCCCTTCCGGGGTCCCTCCTTCCACCCATCCTTGCCTAGCTCCATCCTTCCATCTCACTCTGTCTCTGTTCCTGTCCTCATCTCTGCCTGCCTTCCCTCTTGCCTGGAAAGGGCAGCACCCTGGTTTGCGCGAGGTCTCGGGTCTTTATTTAGTTGTAAGGCGCTCTATGGTGCTGGCGAGGAGGCTGGCGGGACACGGGTTGGCAAGTGATGGTGAGCGAAGAGGCGGAGGAGTTGAGCCACAGAAAGGAGAACTGGCCTGGATTCTGCCCCGGCCCAGTGTTTCGCGGACTGAGGTCTCCGCCAACCCGATTGAAGAACGCGGGGGGGAAAGGGAGGAGAGCTCCGCCTGGGCTAGTTAGAAGACTAGGCTGCTGCCTGGAAACCCGCGCATGCGCAGTAGACAGCCCACCTCCCTGTACCTGGACCGGCCCTGGGATCCCCGGGATGCTCAGGAATGCTTTCTTTTCATTGTTGACAGCCCTACTCTGTGTGGAGTCTCTCGCTGGACCTGGAACTCAGGGATCCTAGGGAGGTCAGCTGGAAGGGAAGACACGCCTCTCCATACCAAGCCTGAGGTTCACTGCAAAAGAGAGGCCGCCGCCCTGCCCCCACCCTGCCCCCACCCTGCCCCAAACCCGCCCCAACCTGCTCCTCCAGCAGAGCCCTGTGTTCTTCCTGTCTGAGGAGTGGTTCCAGCAAAGCGGGCTCTTCCACGTCCTTCAGCTCCCCCAGTGGCGCCGGATCTAGGAAAGGTTGTGCCTTTTGCTGAAACTCTGGGGTTGACAGGAGCTCATCTAACAGGCTGGAGGTGAGTGCAGACGAGAGCCCCGGCTCCTGGAGCGGTTGGGAGGTGCCCGGTTGGCTGGCATCTGCGCTTGACGCGGAGGCCTCCGGGGTCACGAGCTCGGGAGGTGAAGGTGCCCCGTCTTCGGGTTCCCATGCCGCCCTGGCGACCTGGGGCTCCAGCCCCACCACGGACTCCGGTGGGACGTGGGTGGTGCAAGCACACCTTTCCCCTGTGACTCAGCTTGAGGGGCCCCAAGCTGTCCCACTGAGCACGCGCCCAGCAGGCCGTCGCGCTGTGGGTTCTGGTCTTCCTGTCATTTGTTGGGGTTCGGAGGCCACCAGGGAGTCTGAGGATGGGAGAGCCCCAGTTTCGGAGGGAGGGGCCAGGACAGTGAACACAAAGCCCCGCATGCTCGGGCAGGTTGGGAGAGTCCTTCTGCCTGTGCAGCCTGGCTGGGCTGGAGCAGGGGGATGACCCTTGCTTCCTGGCTCACGAAAGCCCCCTGTGGGAGAGCCCCAGGAGCGCAGGGCATGTGGGGTGCAGGAAGCGACGTTCCCCACGCCCCGGTGTAGGTGAACCCGATAGAGGAGGGAGGAGGGTGACACCCACCAGGGGTGCTAATTAGTAACCACAGTGGCCTCAAAGAACTCAAATGAAAGGAAGACTTGCAAGTCTCTCACTTTAAGTCCAGAGCTAGAAATGATTAAGCTTAGTGAAGATGTAGAATTTTCATAGCTAGAGAGAAGTCAACACTTGGCTTCAGAACTTCAAAGGATGGGCTGACTCTCTTTGAGGACCACTGCAGCTGGTGACTTTAGGTTACAGCCAGTGCTCATTGACCACTCTGAAAATCTCAGGGCCCTTAAGAATTATGCAAAATCTATTCTTTCTGTGCTCTAGAAATGGAACATCACTGTCTGGGTGACAGCACATCTGTTAATAGCATGGTTTACTGAATATTTTAATCCCACTATTGAGACCTACTGCTCAGAAAAAAAAAAAAAACGATTCTTTTAAAAAGATTGTTGGTTGGCCAGGCATAGTGGCTCATACTTGTAATCCCTGCACTTTGGGAGGCTGAGGATCACCTGAGGTCAGGAGTTCAAGACCAGCCTGGCCAAAATGATGAAACCCCATCTCTAATAAAAATACAAAAAAAATTAGCCAGGCATGGTGGTAGTACCTGTAATTTCAGCTACTCGGGAGGCTGAGGCAGAAGAATGGCTTGAACCCTGGAGGCAGAGGTTGCAGTGAGCCGAGACCGCACCACTGTACTCCAGCCTGGGCAACAAGAGTGAAACTACGTCAAAAAAAAAAAAAAAAAAAAAAAAAAAAAAAAAAAAAAAGAAAAAGAAAAGAAAGAAAAGAAAGAAAAAGAAAAAATCAAAGGAAAGAAAAGGAAAAAAGAAAAAAAGATTGCTGCTTATTGACAATTCACCTAGCTCCCCAGAAGCTTAGATGGAGATGTACTTGGAAATTAATGTTATTTTCATGGCTGCTAGTACAATATTTACCTTCAGCCTGTGGATCAAGGAGTGGTTTTGACTTTCAAGTGTTTTTATTAATTAATAATTGCATTTTGTAAAGGTATAGCTGTCATAGATAGTGATTTCTTTGATGAATCTGGATAAACTGAATTGAAAACCTTTTGGAAAGGATTCACCATTAATCCTTTCATGATATTTGAACCTCCTCCCGTGAATCACAAATGTCCTTAATAGCAATCCTTAAATGCCATTAAGGACATTTGTGATTGATGGGAGGAGGATGAAATATTAACATTAACAGGAGTTTGGAAGAAGTTGATTCCAGCCCTCATGGATGACTTTGAGGGCTCAGGATGTCAGTGGAGGAAGTCCCTGCAGATGTGGTAGAAATCACAAGACAACTAGAATTAGAATTAGGGCCTTAAGGTGAGATGAAATTGCTGTAAACTCATGATGAAACTTGAACAAATAGGGAGTTGCTTCTTATGGACGAGCAAAGAAAATATTTTCTTGAGATGGAATATAATCCAGGTGGAGATGCTATCAACATTGTTGAAATGACAACAAAGGATTTAGAATATTCCATAAACCTAGTTGATAAAGCAGCAGCAGGGTTTGAGAGGGTTTACTCCAATTTTGAAAGAAGTTCTACTGTTGATAAAATGCTGTCAAACAGCATCACATGCTACAGGGAAATCTTTTGTGAAAGGAACAAACTTCATTGTTTTAAAAAATTGACACAGGTTTCCAACCTTCAGCAGCCCCCACGCTGATTAGCCAGCAGTCATCAATATAGAGGCAAGACTCTCACCAGCAAAAAGATTATGACGTGGTAAGTCTCAGATATTCATTAGCATTTTTTAGCTCTGACGTATTTTAACTTAAGGTATGTACACAGTTTTTTAGACATGCTATTAATTAATAACTAATAATTATTAAATACTCATTAGACTACAATATAGTTTAAGCATAACTTTTATAAGCACCGGGAAATAAAATGTTTATGCAACTAACTTGATTGTAACATTTGCCTTATTGAAGTGTTCTGGAACAAAACTTACACTATCTCTGAGGTGTGCTTGTAGGTTTTTGTTTGTAACATTTGCCTTACTGCAGTTGTCTGGAACCAAACCCACAATATCTCTGAGTATGCTTCTAGGTTTTTGGTTGTTCTTTGTTTTGAGATGGGGTTTCGCTCTGTCGCCTAGGCCAGAGTGCAGTGGCATGATCATAGCTCACTGCAGCCTCAAACTGCTGGGTCAAGTGATTTTTCTACCACAGCCTCCTGAGTAGCTTGGACTACAGGCATGCAGCACTATGCCTAGCTATTTTTTTTTAAATACTTTTTTTGTAGAGACGGGATCTCACTATGTTGCCCACCTGGTCTTGAACTCTGGGGCTCAGGCAATCCAGCCACTTCAGCCTCCCAAAATGCAGACATTACAGGCTTGAGCAACTGCACCCAGCTTGTCTGCAGTTCTTAAAACAAAACGGCCAGGTGCGGTGTGTGACGCCTGTAATCCCAGCACTTTGGGAGGCCAAGGCGGGTGAATCACAAGGTCAGGAGTTCAAGACCAGCCTGGCCAAGATGGTGAACGCAGTCTCTACTAAAAATACAAAAATTAGCCAGGCACAGTGGCGGGCACCTGTAGTTCCAGCTACTCGGGAGGCCGAGGCAGGAGACTCGCTTGAACCCGGGAGGCGGAGGTTGCAGTAAGCCGAGATCGTGCCACTGCACTCCTGCCTTGCGACAGAGCAAGACTCCATCAAAAAAAAATGTAATTTAAAAGATTAAAAGTTAAGATAGATTTTTACAAATGTATATATCTACCATTATAGTATCATACAGAATGGTTTTACTGCCGTGAAGATTCTCTGTGCTCTGTGTATCCATCTCTTCCTTCCCCTTGGTCCATGGCAACCACTGATCTTTCTACTGATCCCATAGTTTCACCGTTTCCAGAACGTCATATAATTGGAATCGAACAGTACGTAGACTTTTCGGATTGGCTTCTTCTTTTAGCAATATGCATTTAAGTTTCCTCCATGTATTTTTTTGTGGCTTGATAGTTCATCTCCTGTTAGCAGTGAATAATATCCCGTTGCCATTATACTTTTGTCAAGACTCAGAACGTACAACGTGAAGAGTAAACGTGAATGTGCACTGTAAGCTTTGAGTGATAATGAAGGATCAAGGTAGGTTCCTGGTTGTCACAGGTGTGCTCCTGTGAGGCAGGAAGCTGTAGTGGGGAGGCTGTGTGTGGGGAAAGGGACATATGAGAAGTCTGTACTCTCTGCTACGTTTAGCTGTGAACCTGCACTTCTCTAAAAAATAAAATTAGTTAAAATTAAAAGCAAAAAATTAGAAAAATTAAAACATTACAATGTGTTATATAGTTTTCAAATCACAAGACAGAAAAAGACATAATAAAAGAAACTATAGAAAACAACAAGGATAGGAATAAAACATCAGTGATAGAAGGCAGAAGACAGAAATGTGGAGCCAAACACATTAATTTATTTTAATCATTAGTTATACTCATTTATACTAATTTATATTGATTTAACATATTAATTCTGACTAAATGGCATTAAAGGAGGTCTGAGGAATTTGCATGTCACATTCTGGATGACAGGACTCAATAATATTAACTCTTTAGTTGGCTGTAAATCATTTAAAAATATGCTCAAATTCCAATAAAAATTCCAAGAAAAATATTTTCGAACAAGAACATGTGATTTTAAATCCATATATTGAACACACACATACAATGAGAGCCATTATTATAAAATTTACTATAAGATATTTAAGATTATTATCACTATCCAAAATTAAACAAATTTGAAATGGCACAAAAATAAACACATTAATGAAAGAGAATTAAAAACACAGAAATTGAGTGTAATTTTATCTAGTAACAGGGTAACATTTTAAACCCACAAAACAGAGCGATTGTTCCATTTGTGGTATTAAAATATTGGGTAATGATTTCAGAATATAAAATGACAGAATTGAATCATGGTCCTACACCTTACATAAAAGTTAATTCCAGTATTAAATGTAAAAAAAAAAGAGAGAGAAAAAAGAAAATTAGATGTGTGTGTTTTATGACCTTGAGAATGAATGTCTTCTAAAACCAAAATTTCAAACAGAAACCATATAAAAAGGAATAAACCTAACGTACCTAATATGTAAATTCTTAAACATTTTAACACCAGGTAAATAGCACAAAACAAACTGGGGAAACTTTTACAGCAATTATGTTACATGAAAGTTAAAATCCTTATGACATATACAATGTATAAAACAATATGATTACTGCTATTATTAATAGCATTATGATTACCTGGTCTTCCCACGCACCAGTCCTCTTCTGGTGCCCTGTGGTGAAACAGAGCCCTCCCTCTCTGGCCACAGTGAGGGATCCAGCAGGAACCCGTGCCTAAACCCACAGAGGGTGTGAGCCAAGCCAGGACATCACATTCCCTCCTGCGAAATGATGCAGATACCCACTCACGACAGAGATTTGGTCCCTCTCTGGAAAAGCTGTGTAACAATTATTGCAGAAACTTGTTTCTTATGTTCCCAGACACATGGAGAAAGCTGGTCTGGAAGACTGATGTCCACATGCTAAAAGCAGTCACTCATAACACACACACTGCACACACCACACCATGTGCACATGCACACACACCCCACACACAGACACCACACAAACAGCACACACACCATGTGCGCATGCACACA
Source organism: Homo sapiens (assembly GCF_000001405.40). NCBI lineage: Eukaryota > Metazoa > Chordata > Mammalia > Primates > Hominidae > Homo > Homo sapiens. The sequence goes on from NC_000009.12 coordinate 63,823,122, forward strand.
CACACCCCATACCCACTGCCCACACCCCACAAACACACCTACTGCACACACACCATGTGCACATGCATACACCCCATACAGACACCACACACAGACACCACACTGCACCCACACCATGTATACATGCACACACCCCACACACTGTACACACACGATGTGCACACATGCATACCTCTGACACCACACACACTGTGTACACATCATGTGCACACACACCCCCCCACAGACATCACACACACCACACAGTACATGTACCCGTGCACATACCCCCACACCACACACGAATCTACTACACATACATCACACACATACAGCACCACACACATCACACACCCCATACATACTCCCCACACACACCACACACCCCACACATACTCCCCACACACTGCACACGTACATACAGTGCCACACACATAGAGCAAACACATACCTCACATACATACACCACACCACACACACATTCTACAAACACATCAAGCACACATCAAACACTACACACACTGCACACACACAGCATCATACACACACAAAACACACACATCACATACACCACACACATATCACATGCACACATCACATATAGTACACATACACACCAAACACACATACACCACAAACACAGCACATATACACACCATGCACCACCCACATACTACACACAGTATACACACATAACACCCACAATACACTCCACACACACATATACATACCCCGTGTACCTACTACACACACAGACCACACACACATATCATGCATACACCTGCACACACCTCACAGAATACATACAATCCTCACTTTTAGAAATTAATTTGGCTTTTAAGGAGCCTGGATAGTAAAGTATTTTATTGGCGTTTGAGTGAGCCAAGAAAATGCGTATAAATACACATGCATAACTATGAGGGCCCAAGCAGCACTTTCGAAATCACAACATGAGATTAAACCGTGTAAATTTTTTATTGTTTTTAAAAAGTCAACTCTTTCTCATTTTACTAGAAACTATTTACCAGAGTAAACTAATGAGATTCTTCCTGAGGTCAAAAGACTTTCTGGAAAAACTTCTCCTTGATGAAATTGCACTTAAAACATCACTTTCATCGTGAAGTATTTCTTTAAGATGTTCTTGGTCCTTTTCCTGTTATGTGGAATCGTCAATTCAAATTTTTAAAAGTGACTCTGATATGTTTTTCATCTATTATTTAAAAAATGTTGAAGGGCTTTTTAATTCTGCCTTCAGCAGAGATCGACACACTCTGATTATGATGTAAAACTGAATACGTTACTCTGACAGGCTTTCTCCTCTGCAGCGCCGCTACCATCATTATTAATAATGATTGAATGCTTTTACTCCATGCACAATCTATATTCCCTGCTTTATAAAGAATAGAAATCTAATTCTCACTATGAAGGCAGATAAAAGTAATCCCTTCAATCTACAGATGACTGAATCATTTACCAAAGCACTCAGACTTTAAATAGAATTTATCAAATGTGTCTATATTTCTATGCATATAATTCATATAAAGAACATGTAGTTTAAATCATTGCACATTTTATGCTTTTAATCAGTTGTGATGGTCATTAGTATTTTTATCACATTTCTCCAAAGGTAGGCTAATCACTGTTATTATTTTCAGCTAGAAATATAAAAGGTATTTTCTATTTTTGATGACTTTGAAACATAACCCTTGGAATATAATATCTGTGTATAATATCTGTGGAAAGCATGAAAGTAATATTCAAACAGTATGCATTTTTTCCAGAATGAAAATTTCCTCTACAATAACATTCATCCTTTTTTCCTGATGGACACATAAAAGTCAACATTTCTAACATTGCTGGACGTTATTTACATTAAACTTGCCTCAGCTTCAGGTGTTGCAGAAACTGGGCAAGAGGCCACAAGGTACACAATACACACACACACACACAAACTTGTATTATTATACTTACCTAAGTGTCTAAAGAGGTGGATAAATATATTAGATTGCTCCAGAACAAGGATTTTTATGGGGCCTATTGGAAAGTATGACTGCAGTTTGAGTGAGATGCCTGTAAGAGATTCAATTTGGCCACTATTTATTGAGTATCCAATTTTAAAAGTACTGACAGAAGGCTCATGAGTTAGAAATTTTCACCTAAGTCTATTGGAAATGTGCTACTGGATGCTGTAGTAAAGAGTGGTGTGGTAATTGTAAAACACATCTGATATCTAAACCTTTGTTTTTTACCTGAAATCTTTATGGAGGTGATTGTGTATGTCAATTTGAATCTTCCCATCAACAAGATAAATAAATAAATAGCCAGCCTACCTCGATAAATTAGTTCACCTTTTCGGCAGTGCTTCTCCGCCTTTGACAGCCACAAGATTCGCCCGGGGATCTCCTTAAAATGCAAAACCATAGACCACACTTTGACTAGCTTGGATAAGGGGCCAGAGCATTGAAATGAGTGTGTAGGTGACTGTGCTAAGATTCTCCTGCTCATTTGGGAACTGGCTCGCTCACCATATAAATAAAGCTTAGGACCTCTAGTCCTTGCTGGAAAAGAAATACACATACATAGGATGTGACTGTGCATATGGAATATCTGTTGTGTTCTGGACATTGTGCTAGACAACAGAGATAAGGAGTCAAATAATCCCTTGTCTGTATTTGAAAAGAGCTTCCGACACAGTGGCTTCTGAGGTCTTTGAAACAAGATTCACTTTCAGATTTGATTATTTTATTTATGATTTGATATTTTCATTGAACCCCATGATATGATAAGGTTTCCAGAACCTGCTAGAACAATTGACTTTGCTTTCAGCATTATGAAGCCACTGAAGCATATAAGTAGTTCATTTATGTTTGTATTTAACCAGACAGGAACAAGTTGAGCTACTTTTCTGGCCACCTTCGTTTAGACCTGTTTTTTTCAGTTATTTTTCTTTGTTTGTTTTTGAAACGGGTCTCACTCTGTCACCTAGGCTGGAATGCAGTGGCGTGATCAGAGCTCACTGCAGCCTCTACCTTCTAGGCTCAAGAAATCCTCTCACCTCAGCCTCCTGAAAAGCTGCGACCACAGGCTCATACCACCATACCCAGCTAATTAAAAAATATATTTTTTTGTACAGACAGGGTTTTTCCATGTTTCCTAGACTTGTCTCCAACTCCTGAGCTCAAGCAATCTGCCTGCCTCAGCCTCCTAAAGTGTAGAGCTGTGTTTTTAGTCTTTTTTGAGCTGTTTTACAATGCAGTTTTGAATTGATAAGTTTGGATTCATTCTGATATTTACAGATTTAACATCCTACTTCACTAGATGCTCATAGCCTTGATCCATTACAGTAGCCACCTTGTCCATCTCTGCTCATAGCCTAAACTAACAGAAGCCAGAGGGAAGAAATGGAAGCCAACATGAGTCCAGAACACACATTTTATAAGAGCATAAGAAATTTAAAAATAGCAAAGTGTATCATGAAGTTTTTAATAGATATGCGTGGCTAAAATTTATTCTCAATCAATATATTCTATAAACTGGGAGAAAATATTAAACACATGAAAAGTAAGGAACTTGGGCTGGGCGCGGTGACTCACGCCTGTAATCCCAGCACTTTGGGAGGCTGAGGTGGGCGGATCACAAAGTCAGGAGATCAAGACCATCCTGGCTAACACGGTGAAACCCCGTCTCTACTAAAAATACAAAAAATTAGCCAGGCATGGTGGCAGGTGCCTGTAGTCCCAGCTACTCGGGAGGCTGAGGCAGGAGAATGCTGTCAACCTGGGAGGCGGAGCTTGCAGTGAACCAAGATCGCGCCACTGCACTCCAGCCTGGGCAACAGAGCAAGACTCCGTCTCAAAAAAAAAAAAAAAAGAAAGAAAGAAAAGTAAGGAACTTTTATCATTATTATATAACTAATATTGGTAAGCTATTGATTATTGCCACAATTTCAGATCCTGTTATTTGTCTATTCAGAGATTCAACTTCTTCCTGGTTTAGTCTTGGGAGAGTGTACGTGTCGAGGAATTTATCCATTTCTTCTAGATTTTCTAGTTTATTTGCGTAGAGGTGTTTGTAGTATTCTCTGATGGTAGTTTGTATTTCTGAGGGATCGGTGGTGATATCCCCTTTATCATTTTTTATTGTGTCTATTTGATTCTTCTCTTTTTTCTTTATTAGTCTTGCTAGCGGTCTATCAATTTTGTTGATCCTTTCAAAAAACCAGCTCCTGCATTCATTAATTTTTTTGAAGGGTTTTTTGTGTCTCTATTTCCTTCAGTTCTGCTCTGATTTTAGTTATTTCTTGCCTTCTGCTAGCTTTTGAATGTGTTTGCTCTCGCTTTTCTAGTTCTTTTAATTGTGATGATAGGGTGTCAATTTTGGATCTTTCTTGCTTTCTCTTGTGGGCATTTAGTGCTATAAATTTCCCTCTACACACTGCTTTGAATGCGTCCCAGAGATTCTGGTATGTTGTGTCTTTGTTCTCGTTGGTTTCAAAGAACATCTTTATTTCTGCCTTCATTTCGTTATGTAACTAGTAGTCATTCAGGAGCAGGTTGTTCAGTTTCCATGTAGTTGAGCGGTTTTGAGTGAGATTCTTAATCCTGAGTTCTAGTTTGATTGCACTGTGGTCTGAGAGATAGTTTGTTATAATTTCTGTTCTTTTACATTTGCTGAGGAGAGCTTTACTTCCAAGTATGTGGTCAATTTTGGAATAGGTGTGGTGTGGTGCTGAAAAAAATGTATATTCTGTTGATTTGGAGTGGAGAGTTCTGTAGATGTCTATTAGGTCCGCTTGGTGCAGAGCTGAGTTCAATTCCTGGGTATCCTTGTTGACTTTCTGTCTCGTTGATCTGTCTAATGTTGACAGTGGGGTGTTAAAGTCTCCCATTATTAATGTGTGGGAGTCTAAGTCTCTTTGTAGGTCACTCAGGACTTGCTTTATGAATCTTGGTGCTCCTGTATTGGGTGCATATATATTTATATAACTAATATGATGAGAATGTGGTTTATGTTTTTATCTTTGCAAGATTTAGGAACATTTAGTGCAAAGAGGAAGAATTTATAATCATGGGGAGCATGTATGATACTGGAGGGACCCTTCTGACAAGGGGGAAATGGCATCACGAGATATGCTATGGTCATAGCTTTGTGGGAGCACAGCTAGCTATGATCTCCCTCATCAAACCCATTGGGCAGTGTTCAGTTACCAACATTGAGATAGAGCTCACCCACCCAGGACAGAAAAGAACATATACACTGCAGTCAGAAGCCACTGAGTAGGAAGCTCCTTTCAGATAGAGGCAAGGGATATTTGACTTTTTATCTCTATTGTCTAGTACAATGTCCAGAACACAACAGACATTCCATATGCACAGTCACATCCTATGTATCTGTATTTCTTTTCCAGCCGGGACTGGAGGTCCTAAGCTTCATTAATATGGTGAGCCAGTGCCCACATGAACAGTAGCATCTTAGCACTGTCACCAAGACATCCATTTAAATGCTCCTATCTTAGCTAGTCAAAGTGTGGTCTATGAGTTTCCATTTTAATAAGATCCACGGGTGAATCTTGTGCATGTTACAGAGGAAGCACTGTCCTACATCATATGTGACAGGCTCTCATACTCACCATCATCACGGGAATCTTGTACATGTTACAGGGAAGCACTGTCCTACATCATATGTGACGGGCTCTCATAGTCACCATCATCACGGGAATCTTCTGCATGTTACAGGGAAGCACTGTCCTACATCGTATGTGACAGGCTCTCATAGTCACCATCATCACGGGAATCTTGCGCATGTTTCAGAGGAAGCAGTGGGGCCCTACATCATATGTGACAGGCTCTCATAGTCACCATCATCACGGGAATCTTGTGCATGTTACAGAGGAAGCACTGTCCTACGTCATATGTGAAAGGCTCATAGTCACCATCATCATGGGAATCTTGCGCATGTTACAGGGAAGCACTGTTCTACATCGTATGTGACAGGCTTTCATAGTCACCGTCATCACAGGAATCTTGCACATGTTACAGGGAAGCACTGGGGTCCTACATCATATGTGACAGGCTCTCATAGTCACCATCACCATGGGAAGCTGCATTTAGAGCATTTTAACTATATGGGCTCTGAAATCAGATGACCTAGGTTTAGACTTCCTTCTACTTCTTACTAAGCAGAGAACTCTGGGGTGAAAACTTTACGAGGCCCAGTTTTATCATGTGCAAATTGGAGGTATAGGGAAATTATAGCATTTTGCATGGAATATTGTTTTAAGTATAAAATGAAATAGTACATAGGAAGCTTCTGCCATACCTTAACTACACAACAAATATTAGTTAATATTAACTCATTTAATCCTAAGAAGAGGTCTATAAATTTGTACACAATAATTTTTTGTGGCTACTCAAATTTTCATAATTAATCTAGATTTAAAATCAAGGAATATTCTTACTTGTAGTTGGCAATCAATATGACATGCCAAAATTATATGTAAGTATTTTATTGTTGGTGAGGATATAAGAAATTTACCATCAAAAGAGAGACGATAATCTATGCTTGCAGACTCCGGAAAGCTGCCTCTCACATAAGAATTTGCAATTTCTGGGGGAAAAGAAAAAGTTGATTGTGCAAATAAACATTACCATGGAGTCTTCTCTATGGCAACATCAAAAATGAAAGCTAATTCTCATCTTCCTAACAATCTGCAAAGACGAGTGAAACACAACCTACTGAGCATCAAGTTAAAGAAGGAGAGAAATTTGAGTGGCACAGGAGGAAATCATGTCACCGCTAGCGAAATCAATATGACGAGTGCTCCTCTGTCCTCCTCCGAGGCTAAGGATGGGTTAAATATCAGTGGCTGACCTCAGGTAATGGAATGAGCAAAAAAGCTATAAAAATGCATGCATTACGTAATTAAGAGGGTGGGAAGGGATTTTTTTTAAAAAGGCAATTCCTACTTGGGTTCCTTCCTGTTCACCCCATTGGCAAAGAAGCTAGTCTTGCCCTAGAATTCTGGGAATGGCTGCAGACAAAACAAACACTGAGCAGACGAAATTCCCAGTAATTTAAACAAAACTCATGATATCCTTGTGTACAAGATGGAAGAAGAGTGGACCAGATGACAATATTTAGATGGAGTCATTCTTAACCCCCGTTGCTCTCCCAGTGATCTAGCTGGGGTTTGTATAAAGTGGAATGGGAGGAATAGGGAAGAAGCCCCCACCTACCCTCTCCCCTTGTCCACTTGTCCTCCTTCACTAGTGGATAAAGTCCACGGGAACAGGCAAGTTATTTTAAATCTGTATCTTCTGTTGTCAAGATCTGTAATCAGTTCTGCTCGCTGGACTGGGGACAGGAACCAAGGGAACATGAGGGTGAACGGGTTGACATGGAGTCCAGGAACACACTGTGCCTACATGCAGAATGTTTGTGCCAGGAAAGCCAGTCAGCAGGCAGATGGTCTCAGATACCAAGCTAGTGTTGGGAAGCAAGATTCAGTCTCTTGAAGGCGGTGTTCCTCATTCTGTGGTTTGTATCACTTGCTTCAGAATGACCTGGAGTACTTGTTAAAATGCAAATTTTGAGCCCAATCCTAGACCTCCTAAGCCTACATCTCTACGGATGGGTCTCAGTAGTCGATATTGGAAACGTGCGGGTCCCTAGGAGATGCTTATGCATATAGATTTGAACTGTTGTGTTTAAGGGTTAGGGAGCTGGCAAAAGCAAGGAATAGACCAAGCCCTCGGGTGGGAAGGCTCCATAACCTTGGCACTGTTAGCATTCTGGGCGGAACAGGATTCTGCCACATGCTTCGCAGCATCCCTAGCCTCTACTCTCTAACACCGTATTCCAGTTGTGAAAACAAAAATGTCCCGTGGGAGGCAAAATAGTCACCAGTTGGGAACTGGAACCACTGCTTTGTGAGATCAGAGTGGTTACTTTGTTCCCAATCCAGGGATCAGAACACACGATGAGAGAAAGTCCAGCTATTGGAACTGGAGTGCCAAGTTGGAGCTAGACCTACAACAAAAGCTCCAAAAGCTCCTTTATAGAGCTTGATCCCATGCCTCAGCTACCTAGCTTGTACAGATGCCATGTAACTCTAGATTTGGTGACAGAAGGAATTTAAAGGCCAGAACTAGACAGGGTCTTTCAGGTTAGGCCAGCACACAACTTGGACTTTTGACATCATCCAGATGCTTGAACCAACCTCAGTTCTGAGGCAGAATTTCCCGTGGCATCTGATACACAGCCTGGATTTGGAGCACTCACTGGGATTAGATGCCACGGGAATATTGTGTTTAGGAACTCTGAAAGAGACAGGCTTCAACAAAGCAGACCTAAGCAACACGTAGCATCTGAACTTCTTTATCAGCTTCCATTCCAGCCCATGAGGACAAAAGCATCACATACATATCCACTGTGGCAAACCTGTCCTCAGTAGGGAGTTTCCCCAGTACTACTCTCCCCTCTGTTCTGAGCCTACTTGCTCCTTTGTAATGTTTCCACTTTCTGTCCCACTCCCTAATAGATGATTTGTCCTCTCTGCCCAGCCCCCTAGTTCTGATATTTGGATTGTCTGTGATTTGGGTAGTACTTAGGAGGTAGAATCAAAGCCTTGTTGATTGGATTTGGAATTTCCCACTTCCTATTAAAGGCACTGATTAAGCATCTATTGTATAAAGTAAAGTAAGATTATGATCCAGTAAGAAAGATTCCGCAAGTAGCGCAGGAAGAATTGGTTTCTAGTACTTCATGCTTCAGCACCGGAAATCCAGAAAAAAATTCTGTGGTACATTAAGTGTTTACTGTAAGTTTCATTTCCATGTGAAAAACTGTAGTTAGCTAAAAAGTACATCCGTGAAGAATCCTGATTAAACTTGTTTAATCCTGGTTAAACTAGCTACTAGCTAAACAATAAGTTCACAACAACTCAAGAACTCCGTAAAAGCATTTCCTCTGAATATTTTATTCAGAAAAAAACACAAAAAGATAAGGCAGAAACAAAAATCCCAGTCATTTGCAGTATCTGTCGGCTTTCAATTTGGTTCTCTTGTTTAAATAAAGAAAAATAGTAAAATTAATCTATGTAAAACATGTCATATATATTCAATTGCTACTAAATATAAAAAGCTTTAAAACTGTGTGTTCAATTTTGGTTAGTGTATTACCACAACACTTATATTAAAATATGTATACTTTTAAATTTGGTTTCTATAAAAAATGGATTCTAATCTTATAAAAGTTATTTCCTAATATTCAATAAATGTTGCCTAAGGGCTTTTTCAATCCAAATAGCAATTTTAATTATTCTGGAATTTAAGGGTGCTCTAAATTTCCATTTAACAGGGTGAGAATGCTGTATTATTACAAGTGAAAAAAGTTACAGGACATAAAGCGTATTCCATTTTAGACTCCACATCCTGATTATATTTTATATCCTCTTCTTGATTTCTTACAACTAGATACATACTCATTTGCTCAGCTGGAAAAAATTCTTAACGTTATTTACTGACTTTAGGTATGAACTCTACCAGCTGGTTAACAGGAAATATGTAATTAAACATTGCCTTTATCAAGTAATGTAAAAAAAGGGTAAGAGTAACTTTCCAACATAGGACTTGAATGAGCGGCTGGTGATTATCAAAATCTGGCACTTAATTGATTTATACTTGTAGACTCACAGCTAAATGTCTCTACCTGTTTTTCTATGTTGTAAATCTAGGACATCACTTATGTACATAGGAATAGTAATAAATATTAATAATGTGCTATGATAAACATCCTGCACTCTTCCAAATCTTACAATAAAACTGCTTCAATTTCACTTGTTTAGCTTTTATACTTAGTTTTTTAGTTCATCTATGCTTATTTTAAGGAACCTGAACTACTCTAATAGAATCCACATAATTTTTATATTAGTCAAACTGCTTCTTTCTAACTCTGGTTCTAATAGTTATAAAAAGATAATGATAAATTTATGAAGTAGATACAGTCAAACCTGAATTTCTTAAAGTATATGCTTAGAATCGGTTATAATTTTTAGATATTCTTTCTTGACAGTCTTTTCCCAAACTCATGATGTCCTCTCTAGGTAATATTGCCACATTCATAAATTAGAAATAAAGGCAAAAATGTGAAAACTACAGTAATTTAAGAGAATGTAGGTTTTCTATATGCCATTTCTATTGGCTACTGAAAATAGTGGAAATAAGTAAATAAATAGCTACCTGTCCAGAAGCATCTCATGCAAAAATCCATCTTTCTGCATCTTTTTAAGAATTTTACTGCTTCTTTACTTATTTTAAGTTTGTGGTCTTGGAAGCTCTGAAATTTCTTTCTGCAAAGAAAATGCCTTCATTGAAAAATACCTCAAACTCTGATTATACATATTTACTATTAAATTTATAAATACTGTTAATTTCTTTTTCACTTATTAAAAAAGTCTAATTGTAGGCCAGGCGCAGTGGCTCATGCCTGCAATCCCAGCACTTTGGGAGGTCAAGGCAGGCAGATCACTCGAGGTCAGGAGTTCGAGAACAGCCTGGCCAACATGGTGAAACCCCGTCTCTACTAAAAATACAAAAATTAGCCGAGCGTAGTGGCGCGTGCCTGTAGTCCCAGCTACTGAGGAGGCTGAGGCAGGAGAATCACATGAACCTGGGAGGCAGAGGTTGCGATGAGCCGAGATCGTGGCACTGCACTCCAGTCTGGGGGACAGAGCGAGACTCCGTCTTGGGGGAGAAAAAAAAAAGTCTAATTACATTTTTTTAAATAAGCTGGAGCTTTTGAACAACAAAGATAACCTTCGTGACCTCTCAAGAGGAGGGCCACTCATTGACTGGGTAGCAGAAGGCCCCACTTCTATTAGGGCATGCTGGCTGGAGTCCCCTGTGTCCTGGTCATAGCACAGCCTTTGACTGGCATCACGCCCATTCTATGAATGAATAGAGAGATTGACTAACCTGAGTGACTAGCTTTGGGAGCTGTTAGGATGATTAGGAAAAATGAACCCTCAAGAAAAGAAAAGCATTTAGCTCAGTGCTCTGTCCTAGAGGCTACGTTGTGTTGCCTCTTCTTGTCCATCAGTTTTCATTTTTTCAGACAGGGTCTTGCTCTGTCACCCAGGCTGGAATGCAGTGGTGATCAGAGCTCACTGCAGCCTTGAACTCCTGGGCTCAAACAATCCTCCTGTCTCAGCCTCCTGAGTAGCTGGGCCTACAGGCATGCCTCACCATCCCCAGCTAATTAGGTAATTTATTTTGAAAGCACTTTGAGAAGCACTTCACTGTCAAATCTGTAGGTCTAAAAGGAAAAGCATACATACACATAATTGATTTCACATTGTTTTACATTTCCTTTGTCTTCTTCTGGAATGTCATCTTTTTTCTTGGTTTCTCTTTCAGCACAGGATCTAATCTAGATATTGGAAAAGAGAATCCAATGGGTTATATGTTTATCTTCCACCTTCCCCACTTTACGTATCACATAAGAACATTCGAGATGATTTCTTATGCAGAAGAAAAAATTAACTGAGCAACTATATTCAGAAAAAGACAGGTTCTGGCTATGTGTTTTTACTTCATATATATAATCTATATGAGTAAGTGCTATCACATGCTTCCTCCGCAGCCCTTGTGTCAGAAACACTACAGACAAAATTATTTCAGAAACATTTTACACATCAGATCCTGTTAGGCAGTAAAGCAATCATTAACTAATTTAATTTTGTCCTCCAAGTCAATACACTAGGATCAAATTATCCCTAGTAGACAAGTGTTCATTTGATCAAATTGAAAGCTTAATAGCTATTTTAGATTGCACAGACTATTACCAAAGTATTAAAACTTTTAACATTACACAACTTCTTTTTAATTAATTGGAACCCACCTCTTTTACTAGCTTCTTATATCCTCCTAAGTTTGGATAGATGTTTACTATCACATGTCATAAGTTAATTGATCTGCATTCAACAATTAGGATCACCCACAGAACAGGCAATTGGCAATGGTAAGGACTCATGTCTCCTAAGGGATCTCTGTGGCCAGAGTCTAGTTCCAGGGCTGCTTAGAAAGTGATGACAAATAACATGTTTGTGCCAATGACATCTTTGTGACAGTTTTGATTAGAGGGGTCCCAGACCTGAAAACATTCCCTGCTAAGGCCTGTAGCACAATGCTACCTTTAGTAAGAGGGATCTGTGTTCTGATAGATAAGGCAAGGTCATAAAGGTGAAGGGCTGACAGAGATTAGGAGAGCCTGTAATTAAATGGTACAAAAAGAGTCCTAAATAATCACTGTTCAGAACTTCCAAGTACTTGACTAACCAAAGAGACCCAGAAAACTTTGTATTTCATCTGAAAATTGCTTTAAATAGTGAAAAATGCAATCTTTGTGTAAGTATCTTTGTATCTTTGTATAAGTGCAAAGCACTGCACATATATTTGCAATTGTTGCCTTCAATAACACTTTTGTGATGATATCCAGATGAAAAATAATTTAAACATGATACAATAAAATATAAATAAATTAAATTAAATGTAAGTCACAAACCCATCTGCATTTCCTCAATGACCTGTTTCCTGAGAAGCAATGTGCTATGAAATACTGAGACTGGCCTCTGGAGTCAGCTGGGCCTGGGTACACATCCTGTCTTACCACACCTTGAAATCACTGTGATTTCCATGAACTGACTGACAAAAACCACGAGGATGTAAGGAGGGTCGGAGGCTGTCTTACTGTCTGTAAGGCTGAGCTCACATCCACCTCACAGGAGCATTATGGAAATTCAAGACTACAACGCATGTGCCGGATGCATGCAATGAAAAAATATAACACTTCACTTCTCTAACTGTAAGAAAATACCTACATTTTAGATTGAAATTGTTTGAGCTTTAGATTTGAAATTATCTGAAATCAAGACTATTCTAAAAAGAAAATCAAACACATGACTGGAAATCTAACATGAAGCACATACAGAGAATTGATAGATGCTTTTAAATTACACTGGTAGTAGAGAAAAATGTAACATAAATTTTTATGCTCTGATTATAAGAACGAAGGGCATTTTAGAAAAGGCATTTGCCCCCTCTCTTAGAGCCTTCCACTCTGGCCCCCACAATGTCTGACAGAACAAATCTGGGTCAGACTGGATGCAACCTGTGATTCCCAAAAGAGACAAACAAAGCAAGGTTCAGGATGCTCAGTACTGCGATGGAATGCCAAGACACAGAAAAACCATGTGTCAAGGGGGGAGTTATTCTTTAGACACATCCTGATATATGTTTATCATTAAAGATCAGTGGCTTTTGTGAGTCTAAAAAATTAAGCCTTAAATGTTTTCATCAAATTCCAGTTAACTACCTGATTTATCTAGGTTATATTAACAGTATTATTTAGAATTTCACCTTGATATGAAGATGTCTGTGTAACTTTTACAATGATGTAAAACAAAGAGTAGGATTAGGGAGGGCACAGACCACTGGCGCAATGGATAACGCGTCTGACTACGGATGAGGGAATTTAGCCTGGAATAAGGAACTTTTATTTCCAGCTTAGTGACGCACACAAATTTTAAAAATAAAATAAAAATCATGTTTTATGTGATTCATGTTTCTCCTAATGCAAAGAAGACGGGTACTATTACTAAAAATATTTTTAAAATGTAAGGGCTAAGGCCCCAGAAGTTCTGCTATGATTTTTTATGTTTCATAGAGTGATTATCATCACAGAAGCTCAAGCATTATGTAAATACAAACGCGTATACCCCGACCTGGTAATTCTGCTTCTTGAAATTTATCTTCAGGTCCACCCACACATCTACAAATTGATGTATATTCAATGTTATGTACTGCAGCACTGTTTGTAAGAGCAAAAGACTGGAAACAGCCTAAATTTCCATCTATAAAAGACTAAATAAATAAAGGTACATCCCTAAAATGGAATATTATGTGGCTGTTAAAAAAGAGAGAGAGAGAAAGAGAGGAGAAGCAAGAAAAAGAGAAAACTTTCTACATTCAAACTAATAGTAGAAAACTCTCCAAGACACAATTTTAAGGAAAAAAAAAATCAAAGTCGAGAAGACAATAGAGGAGGCTGCCTTTAGTGTAAGACAGTTGAAAATTATAAATATATTCATATGTTTATAAAGAAATTTTAGGAGGCTATAAAAAAACAAAACAAAGGGAAAGAGGAACAGGAACTGGGACACAGGTGAGTAAGATGCATGGCAGGTATATGTCTTCAACTTCCTATGCTTTTATTTAAAAATGTTGGACCACGTGTACATGTTATCTATTTTAAAAATTAGATTTTAAAATACAAGCAAGAAAACAAGAAAATGAAAGCATAAAAAGAGCATGTGGAACTACCAGAAAAATATACTAATCCATGGAGATAATGACAAGGTAGCTCCTAGATGCACTGATTTCTCTACCACATTGTATAAACAAGCCATCAACTATGGGATTTGTAATTAAAAATGAGTCTATTTGAAACACCACACTATAAAAAGCTATTAAGTAAATCTTTAAAGTGACAGTAAATGATGACTTAACATTTTAAAGAGATACAGTCACATCGCATGTGTGAATGCAGTCATCTGTATAAAATGTCATCATTACCTTGATCATTTCTTCTTCTGCTGTTTTACTTTTTGCTTCTATGTCCCCTGCTTCATTGTATCTAATAAAGCATCTATTTGAGGCCAACAAAGCCATTTTCCCCTAAGTGAAACAAAATAACAAAATAGCCATGAGGATACTTCTTGTAGAAGAAACATTAAGTGTTTAGACTGAATGAATTTTTCCTCCCTGATTTAAAAATCACAGAAAAGAACTTAGAGAAAAACCTGAAAAATATAATACAAGAACATATAGAAAAGGAAACCAAAATCACCTTTCATTTTGCTATTCAAAGATTGCCACAATAAATATTTGTAGTGTATCTTCCTAGTAGGACTAAATTCTAATTAGATGAGGTAGGATTACTTCCTTTCTAAAAGATCTACTGAAGATAAAACTGATTTAGTTCTGTTTGAAAAATTAGCTTTAAAGACAAGAACATAATTATGAATGCATACTTTATTCAAATATTAGCATTTTAAGTAAAATTTATTTTCTTCACAATTAGAAAACATGAAAAGGCATATACAATGCCTTTGGTGTTTTGAATTTAAGAATCAATGTCTGAGGGACTTTTGTGTGTGAAAATAAATATTCATATACATTTTTAGTTGTTTAATGTTTGATGTATTACACTGCTTTCTATTAAACAAAACTTTAAAAACTGATTTTCTTGTGTATCTAAATCTGGGTTATAAATTTGGTTAGCTTAACTCCTGTAACAAATATAATGTTTATTTATAACTTGTATTTGGTTGATTCTTTTGGAAAACTAGGAATACAATAACATTTAGATAAAATATTTATAAATACAATGATTACAATATATGTTAACCTTATATCACATCCAGTTAAAAACGTGCTGATAACATGGATTTAATTTCTTAGTCAAGTCACAAGGGCTGGGTGGTCTCTCATCTTGATGGCTCCCGGTGAGCCCTGGAACATGGCGGTGTGGTCCAAGGCAATTTAAACCTGTGCCACAGATTATTCAGCTGAGTCCTTTTTGCAATAGAGTTTTAAGACCCTCTTTCATTTAAATTTAAATTTTTGAAACTTAGTGTCCTTCCTAAAAATAAAATGAAATGAAGTTTCCTAAAGTGTTGTATTATTAGTACTATCTAAGTCATCATCCTGGTCTTATGAAATATTGGCATTTTCTACTGGTGTAACTTTTATTAGAAGCATCTCATCATAACTAGTAGGATCATCTCAAAGGGGTTGCAACACATTAGCAGGTAATGAAATCAATGTAGTGTTTCCTGAACGGTATTGGGTGGGGGGGGGAAGAATACACACAGACACACAGAGGAAGGGGTAAAAGAGAATAAGAAATATCAAGACGCATAACACACGGATAAGTAAGTATTGTTAAGTACAACTCTTGCTTCAGTTATACATATGTGTGTGCTGGGCTGCAATGTAAAAATGCATTTCTCAATGGATTGGGTCAAAACATTTTTCAAGTCACTGACTTAAGATTTTATCCTAGGGGATGAGGAAATTAGTCTAAGTGATTACCTCTTTCTGGTGGGATGTTTGTTTAATCTGTCATCTTAGAAAACACTGCTGAGTTCCTATTTTCAGTTCATTATTGTATACAACCAAAGCTGCTACTCAAAGGCTGAGCTTATCTTCTATTTGCTTGTTCTGCATGGTGCCCAATGGTCCTTACTGTTTTTGATATAGTTATCTACTTTTTAAAGACAGTTTAGCACTCACATATTTTTGTTCAATCTTTACTTCTCACACAAACAGAAAAAGGAAATTATGTATACTGTATCAACAAAGATTTAACAAAACATCCATACACTACAACTGTCTACTTACTAAAATTAAGAATTAGTATATTATGTTTTTTCTTCTTATATTAAAACTATCTTTTCATACACTATTTTAAGCTTATGAACTGAGTCTTTTAGAGATAATTTACTTCAATGAACTATTATTATTTATATTTTATTAGCAAATTGTCACAACTTGGTCTTAGCTAGCTCCACTGTTCGCTTACAGTCGCTAAAGTTTCTGAAAGCATCCATGATTTCTGCTACAAAGAAGATACTTAGGAACGATTCTGTTTTCCTACTCTGTGACCTAAAATTGACTGGTTCTTCAATGGAAATGAGATCCATATCGGGCACTAAGGGTATACAGAAATAATTGTGGGCAAAAGTACTAAAGCTATTTTTGTTGCACTATATTTTGAGATCTCTTTAAGGCTCTGTGTTCTTACTGATTTATTCCAATTTAATGTATTATACTATTGCATCCTACTTTTTCTTTTTAAATATATTATTATTGACTGTTACAGACTTTGTGTTAAACTGACAGGAAGTTTTTATAAACAATAACAGCATTCATATTTTGAAAGACTGGTTCCCATTGTTCTCTTGGTCCAATTGCATCTGAACGCCAACAACAAGTTCATCTGAATTTATACCAAGATATTTTCCACAGCCCGGTTTCAGGGTGATTCTGTACATTAATAAGATAGATAAAAGTTAAAAACTGAGAGAAAATTAATTATAGGTCATCAAAACAGGACATGTGTATGTGTGTGGGTGTGTACATATCTAAAATTCCAGACTGGACATATTCCAAGTGTTCAAAAGATGCATGTGGCTGAGTGGTGACTCACTCCTGTAATCTCTGTGCTTTGGGAAGCCAATGGGAGAATTGCTTGAGGCAAGAAGTTCAAGATCAGCCTGGACAACATAGTGAGACCCCATCTTTACAAAAAATTTAAAAAGTTAGCTGGGCATGGTGGTGTGCACATGTAATACCAGCTACTTGGGAGGCTGACGCAGGAGGAGTGCTTGAGCCCAGAAATTTGAGGTTATAGTGAGCTATGATCACACCACTGCCCTCCGGCCTGGGTGACAGATTGAGACTCTGTGCCTTCAAAAAAAAAAAAAAAAAAGCTACATGTGACTAGTTGTTGCCATATTGGACAGCACAGTTTTAAATTTAGTTTTATATTTTGCTTTTTTAATAGAAACATTGTACCTTATATATTAAATAATAAATATTTTCAAAATTCATCACGCTTCAATTATACCTCTTTAGTTAAAAACTTCAATAATAAATTACTAAAACTTTATGTCATCAAACTGTTTTCCAGAAAATGCTGCTTCCATTTACATTCTTAAATTAACAGAGCATGTTTTGTATCATGGATTTTTTTTTAAACGTTATGACTCTAAAAAAATACTTGAAAACCTGATATGAAAAAAACAGTATCCTATTAATTTGCATTTTAGTAGTTAACTAGAATAACAATTGTTTTTCTTTTCCTTTCCTTTTTAGTTTTTAGATTATCTGGTAATGTTCCTTGTCCATTTTTCTATTCAGATCTGATTGTTCGCAATTTTTCTACTGGGGTCTTCAGTGCTATGAATTCTATACAAGATACATATGAAGAGTAAGAACTCACTGCCTATTAAGATTGTTGCAAATATTTTCTCATTTGTCAGTTTTCTTTATAATCCTTTTTTGTTTATAATTGTAAAGCAGTTTAAAACTATTGAATTTTTCTTCCTCTGCTTTTATTCTTTTTCACCCTACTTATCAGACTTTCAAAGAAAGTATAGAAATAATCATCTTAATGTGATTTTTTAAAATTATGATTTCTTTTACCTTACCAAGAATCTCCACAGATGCGAGAATTGACTTTTACTCCTTTATAAGTTAATGATTATATAACAGAAATCATTATCATGTTGATGTAACCAATTACTAAAATATGTAAATTCACTTTCAGTATCTTTTACCCGAAGAATCATTCTATACTTCTGCACAAGGGGAGAATAAAAAAGGTTACTTTATAAAATGACTGTAAAAATAGTGAGTAAAAATATTCCTTTGGTCGTTATGATGCTGTAACATTCTCTGCTGGTTTCAACAATATTCCTTTTTTTTTAGTCTTCCTGTTTGTCTTTAGACTTCCAAACAGTGAGTTTAAATATCATAGCAACAGTGAACCAGGTTTTGTACTATTTATTTTTTAATCTATCTTATTTGGTGTGTGAAATTATTAATCTTCATCTTTTAACTTACATATCTTTTTTCCAGCCTAGCATTATATATTGATAGGAAATCCACTAAAAGTAGATCACAAAATCTACTTTTCAAAAAAGCTATTTTGTTTTTTATATCAAAATTACCATGGGCTTAAGACAGAAACTAAAATTTTTAATGAATACAATTAAATTTTTAAAATAACTGGTTACTAATTATATTACAATATAAGTTCACCTGGAATCAGATAATTTGACAGCCATAAACTGCTCTGGAGGACTAGGGCCCTCATCAACTATTGGAGAAAAAATATTTGAAAATAAATTTGACATATGCTATAAATATAAAGACATTATTTTGCTTTAAAAAATGTGGCTATTTTCTTCTGCAATTAAATGTAAGAATATTCAGATATACTGATGTCACTGTAATACTGTATCTTTGGAATCAAGATCTATTTTACCTTCTTTTAACTACAGTGCTAATTTTATACACTGAGTGAGACAGGGTGATATAA